>NT_187498.1:0-210658 GCF_000001405.40 Homo sapiens
GATCTTTTCATCCTTGTTTTTCTACTAGCTCTCCTTCTCCAAATACACTGACTTGGAACCCCAGTTTCAGTGGTGGACTGCGTGGATTTGATTCTAAGCTATGCTATAATGAGAAAGTAGCTCTAACCCTATTCTCATTTTCTTCACCTGTAATATAGAAATCATCATCAGACAATATACAGATAGGGGCCAGTTATTTCACAGATAATAATAGGTGAAAATGGAGAGTATGTGGGTGTAGACATGGGAAAGTGAGTTTAAATGGTTTCAGGAGTCTGTGGAAATTGTCTTTGGGTGATTCAATGTTCTCAGGGAAGCACACCCAAAAAGACATTGAGGATTTCTGGGGAAGTGCTAGGGATTAGAGACAGGATAAGATACAAAACTAGGTAAATTAGAGAGTGAATAGATTGGAACATATGTAGTATGATTGATTGATAGGCGGCACTCAGATTCTCAGTTTCAAGTGGGATATTTTTCAATTTGATCCATATAGCTAGTTGCTAAAATATATGTGGGGATTTGGTGGAAATTTGGATCTAACCAGGGTTATTTTCCTGGTTAGATTCAGCAAAGTGAAAGAGAAACAAGGAAGTTGAAGTTTCCTGGGAATGGTTGGCCACGGAATTTAGGCAGGAGAACAGGAAATAGAGTACATCAGTAGGTAAGGGTCATTATGAATATGATAAAATAATAGTTTGGAGGTCTCAGAGAGATTGAAAAATTTTATGTCAGCGTATGAAAGGGAATGATTAAAGGAGGAGTTCAGAGAATGGGATGAATGAAATTGTGACTACAGAGGAGTTGCTATTATAAGTAATGACGATGCTTCACTGAGTCCCTCTGGAAGTGTGGTCCCTGTGCTAGCAGCAACAGCATCACCTGGGAACTTACTAGAACTGCATATTCTCAGGTTACACCCCCAGATCTTCCAAATCTGAAATTCCAATAGCAGGTCTCAGCAATCTCTTATTGTAACACAACTGTAGGCAATTTTGAGGCACACAGTAGTTAGCACAACTGGTCTAGTGTATGTCTTATTTGGTCTTCCTCCCCGGTTCACAGTACAGAGCTCCTAAAACTTGAAATTTCCTGATAGAGATGAGAGGACCATCCTTTACTAGTCATAAGTCCCTCTTAGCCATACCTGAGTTTATGCTATTGACATGACATGAGTGGTGGCTGGAGACCCATATGGCTTCAAGGTGGGTGCTTGACACCAGAAACATGAAGGCATAACTAGATGGTTAAAACTGTCAGCCCTCTCCTCCATCACCTCTGAGGTGCTGGGAGGGTGATACAATGATATACTTAGAGGTCATATGGCAGCTTTGTGCCCCTTTTCACCATACCTGGCCCTATGTGTCTCTTCTATTTGACAGTTCCTGATTTGTATCAGACAGTAACTGTAAGCAAAGTGCTTTCTTGGGTTCTGTGAGCCATCTTAGCAAATTATAGAACCTGGGAAAGGAATCCATGGAAGTCCTAATTTATAGCCAGTTGGTCAGGAGTATGACAGGCCCACAACTCCTCTCTAATGGTGGGGGGGGGGGCAGTCTTGTGGGCCTGAACCCTGAACTTGTGGGATCTGATGCTATCTCCAGATAGATAGTCTCAGGATTGAATTGAATTGTAGGACACCATTTGGTGTCCTGAGAGTTGAAAAATTGATTGGGGTGAGAATAAATCCACAAATTTCATCTCAGAAGTTTGAGTAGAAATAATTCTGTTGGAAAACATTATCGTTAGATCAAAGGTGTTAATAGAACTGAGAGATCAAAATGGCAAAGAGTCATCTTTGATTACACATTGTTGACATAAACTAGAATTAAGACAAGAATATGTCAAAGAGAGTTACATTGAGCCAGGGATAAAAATAGTCAATCGATTGATTAGAATTTAGTAAATGCTATTTTTTGAAAAATTAATCTTTAGTTAATTAATGGAGATACTTAATTATCTCCATTTTGACTTTAAATTTATAACTAAAAAATTGCTATATTATCTATTTTCCATAAATGGAAATTGAAAAGCAATAGCAAAATGCTTCGACAGAAAATCTGCCCTTCTTATTCCCAAGAGGAAGAATGGCCAACTACCTTAAGAAAAAGTTAGAAAAACTTTCATAATTTTTTAAGTTGCCATATTTTATAGCTTTGAACAAGTTGAATTATTAACTAGACTGCCCAGGGAATGGAGCCATCTAATATAATTTCCTTACTATTTAGATAAAATCTTTGTTGTTGAAAATCTTAATCATTTTTAATGATCCTGTTTTCAGAGCCTGATATTAATGATTCGTGAAACTCATTAAATGCAGTTATGCATCTGATTTGAAAATCATGAGGGGGATTTTTGGTCAGATATGCATAGCAAATCTATGTCACTAGACATAAGTCCCTTCTACCCATGCCACAACCTTTATGTCTACTCTTGAATTGAGGTTTTGCTACGTTTTATTTTTGAGGTTTAAGAATTATTCATTTAACTGTCGGAAAATTGTGTTTCTCTTGTTAGAATAGAGCCCAATTTATCCTTTTTATTTTTCATGGAGACATGAAAGGATGTGAATTTGCAATCAGAGAAACCTGAGTTCCACCATGCTTTCTTCCTCTTGCAAGCCATGAAATCCACAGTGGGTTAGTGGATATTACAAAACCTCTGGTCCCACCTTATTAAGATGGAAAAAAATAAGACGAATTGAAAGAACAAATGTGGTAATGAGAAGAAATGGTATCAATAAAGTTCCTGGAACACAGTAAGTTCTAACAAATGCTAGTTCTTTTCTTTCATAATTCAAAATCTAAATAGAAGCCAGTTGGTAATTCCAAGATAATAGTATGAAGACAAAAAAAAATGTTTGTTAACTGACCTTCAACCATTGAGACCTTATCTTATAGGAAGCAAAATTAACAAATATTTTCTCCCTTCTACAAATGTATACCCTCTGAGAAAGAGAGACAGTGTTCCAATCAAGATGATGACAGTATTCTGTGCACACATAGGAAAGGAAGAAGAATAAGAAAGAACCTTTAAAAAGACAATTTTAGATAGGCATCCTATTTTTACCGGCAATAACATTTTTTAGAACTTACGGCATACAAAATAGACCTTAAATGGACTCAGTGTTGAGAAATTTTTATAAGGCTGCTTTATTTTCTTCTATGGTAAATCTAGGAACCAATAAAATAGCTTTGATAATTCACTCATTACATTCTTTCCTAACTAAACTATTTACATTATAAACTTTGTTGATACGCTGTGCTTTTGCATTAATAATTCTCATGTGTCTCATTTGTGAATACATGAAAACTAGTTGTAAAATAAGGAAAATGTAATTTTGAAACATCTTCAAAAACAGTTGCATAATTTAACTAATGTTTATAAATTTTCATCCTTACTCTACAACCATAGATATCCTAAAAGTGATTGAAGGTAAAATGATTTTTAAAGAACTGGATTTCTCACCATGAGTTATTTTATCTCCATACAAACTGTGGTAGTGTTATACAATGGTTAAGAAGAAATTACTTAAAAATGAGAATAAAGATACAGCTTATTAACACTTCATTTTGTGGATGAGACCTGAAAAATTAAACTTTTCTTCTAGAGACAAGTTGTAGTTGTGTATATAGAGTGTGAATAGATAGTGTCCATATTTTACTGTCATTATTTAAACAGAAACATGTAATTTGCACTTCAAAAACCTACTACAAATTAACTGTGTCATTTGGAAGTGTCAAAATTATCTCATTAATGATCAGATAGGCTTTTGGCTCATTGTAATGAGATGTTCCTATAAACCTAATTTGAAAGACAAAGACAGAATTTGGAGTCTTTAATTCTTGGTAAAATCAGTAGCTCTATTTAGGGCTATATTTGCAAAATACTATTTCAACTCAAGCATATTTTTATTTACAAGGCACTTCACAAATGTTGACCACAAAGATGTTTCTACCTAGCAGAAATAATTATAGTTACATATAGTTGTCTAGGAATATCTTAAACATGGGGTATTAAAATAACTTTCAAGAACAAGAAGAAATGTTACACCAGGCATTTTTGCAACTGGTGCTCTATTTCAGTGCAATATTTGTGACAATTAAAAAACATAAATGGCTTGGATATATAGCTAAGTTATCAAAGGAAAAATATGCAAAGGCATGATTATTTTATAAATGTGCCACATATGTGACTTGAGGTACAAATCCTCTAAGTTTAAAATTGTCTTTTTAAAAAAGAAATCAAAACAGACAAGTGGGCAATGAGTTATGGATACTATTATAGGGTACCCTGATAAACTAGTAAGAAGACGACTTTTGGTACTGAAAATTCCAATTAACCACATGCCCTCATTAAGGCCATGATCACTGCCAATTTTTACTCACAAAGGCTGGAGCTAGAGTTATATGGAATTCCATAAGTATGTAAACCATAGATTTATCAATTATCACTTAAATACAACTTGGAGGACACTATCCAGAATTTGTAGGGCTTGGCCTTATTCTAGAGAAACAAACACTGGAATAGGCAGTTGGATTTTAAATTCAGTCTTAGATCTGTTGAAAATAATGCATTTTTTTCTCAGAGATGAGATATTGTTCAACTCTTTTGACTTATTTTAGATTTGATATTATACAGTTCAAACACCATGGAGATTTACTAATCTGAATGAACACATATCAAATTAGTCTTTGCTCCAGTCTCGAAATCTGAGATTAATTCTGGCTGCTGAAGAAATTTTCCAGTGTTAGGAGTATGCTTCAATGCTGGTGACCGGTACTACTTTCTGGTAAACTATAGATGACATGTGCGCTTTCATTGCCTAAACTCACTTTGTAGAACACCATTAAATGAAAATCATCACCAGCAATTTGGGAGGCTAAGGCGGGCAGATCATTTGAGGTCAGGAGTTTGAGACCAGCCTGGCCAACATGATGAAACCCCGTCTCTACTGAAAATACAAAAACTTATCCAGGCATGGCGGGATGCACCTGGAATCCCAGCTACTTGGGAGGCTGAGGCAGGAAAATCGCCTGAACCCAGGATGTGAAGGTTGCAGTGAACAGAGATGTTGCCATTGCACTCCAGCCTGGGCAACAGAGTGAGACTTCATCTCCAAAAAAAGGAAAAAATGAGAGAGAGAGAGAAAAACAATTATCAGTGTTCAGTGACTCTTTGTTTTTCATGCTGATAAACTATTACACAGAAAAAGAAAATTTTCATGCTGATAAACTATTACACAGAAAAAGAAATGTATCCATTATGGACAATTAAAAGGGCTATACAATCTCTCTCATTGTATGATTCTGGTTTTCTTTATTTTTCTTTTCTTTTTTTCTTTTTTTTTTTTTAATACAGGATCTCACTCTCTCACCCAGGCTGGAATGCAGTGGCTCTATCTTGACTCACTGCAACCTCAGCCTCCTGGGTTCAAGCTATTCTCCTGCCTTAGCCTCCTGAGTAGCTAGGAATAAAGGCATTCACCACCACGCCAGCTAATTTGTGTATTTTTTTAATACAGGTGGCATTTTGCCATGTTGCCCAGGCTGGTCTTGAACTCCTGACCTCAAATGATCCTCCCGTCTCGGCCTCCCTAAGTGTTGGCATTACAGGCATAAGCCACCATGCTTGGCCTGATTCTGTTTTTTAACACAATTCTTATTACTTCTGTTTTAATTTTACAAAGCCATAGGTTTTTAATCTGGGAAACCTTTGAGAAAACATCCAGATAAATTTATAAATAGAAAAATAAATTCAGACAAATAGAATTAAGTTTATGATCTAACAAGTGGGCGGCAACCGAAAACTTTCCAAGTTCCATAAACTGAAGTGAAAGGATCACTTTCCTGAAAATATTACAAAGCCTTGATAATTACCTGGATTGTACTAAAACCTACACAATCTAGTATATTCTATAGCAGCAATTCATAAAGACAGCTTCACTTACCATGTAGAATTTATACGT
The DNA here is from genome assembly GCF_000001405.40 of Homo sapiens. Classification (NCBI taxonomy): domain Eukaryota; kingdom Metazoa; phylum Chordata; class Mammalia; order Primates; family Hominidae; genus Homo; species Homo sapiens. The sequence continues at coordinate 5,969 of NT_187498.1, forward strand.
ACACTAAATTTAAGGAATGCGTTACTTGCTATTGGAGTAGGATAATAAACTCCCAGCAGAACTGATTTTCATGAATGCCTATTAAACTATCATTGATGTAGAAATTAAACAATATATTAAGCTATTCAGACCCAGATTGTGAGAGACAGAGAAAAACTTCAAAAAAGTTCAGCTACCAAATCCCTTCCTCAACAGCTCTTTGAGTCTCAAGACAGTTTCAACCACACACATCCTCAGAGTCTTATGGTCCAAACAACATTTGACTGCAGCTCTAAAGTAAGCAAACATTTGAAAAGAAACTCAAAGATCTATGCCTGTAGTTATGGTCAAGGAGGTCCACCTACTGGTGGGTGAGCATGGCAAGGATAAGGACTAAGCCAAATGATGGGTTTACCAAAACAGAAACAAGAGAAGTCATTGGAAGCACAGTCCAGGTTATAACAGGAGCCCAGGCACTTGATGTGGGAACCCTATTTGTCTCATTCAACACCTAGAATTTTAACGTCCTATGAGGCACAGCTAATGCCCTTCATTATTTTTTTTGTAATTGACTGCATAGTTTAGAACTATGCCTTGAATTTAATATCTATCTGTTGAATAAATGAATTAATAATGATGAAAATCTGTCCACAGGTTATGTGCAGTACTGAAGAGCAACTTCAGCTATTGAGGTATCTATCAGAAGTCTTACTCTCCAAAAAGCCTCTGGTTAGTTACTGATATACGTTGCTGATAATTTCACTCTCACAATGTAGGGGAAGCAGGAATATTATCTGGCCTCTTGGTTCCTCTTCCTTTGCCTTCCACAGATCTCTCTGCTGGTTCACAGAGGAACATTTTCATGGCTCTCAGTTCATTTTGCAATTCTGCTAGAATCTCATTCCATCCTCAGTTGTAACTACCTTGTCCTTCACCCAAAGCTTATTTACGGAGGGACAGATAGCAAGAAGAAATCGCACTCTGGATTACAAAGTGGGAAGACGCACCCCTTGGCCAGAATGCCTGCCTCCTATGTTCATGAAGGATATTTCTAATTGATCTCGGCACTCTTTTCCATTGAGCCCATGTCCCAAATTGGCCGTGAGTTAGGGAGAGGGCTCTAGAGTGGGAAAGGTGTACCCAAAACTTCCCTAATCTGACTATCAAGCCTAAAAAATTAAACTTTCAATTCAACATCCCTTGTTTCTCCAACTTGGAGTGCTTGATGGTGTGGGAAGCCCCTACTCATAAAAATTCATAGTTGAAGATTGTTGGTAATTTTGCCCAACCTCCTTCTTTTCTTTTTATTTTACTTTAAGTTCTAGGGTACATGTGCACAACGTGCAGGTTCATTACATATGTATACATGTGACATGTTGGTGTGTTGCACCCATTAACTCGTCATTTACATTAGGTATATCCCCTAATGCTTTTCCTCCCCTAGCCCATCACCCCACAACAGGCCCCGGTGTGTGATGTTCCCCTTCCTGTGTCCATGTGTACTCATTGTTTAATTCCCACCTATGAGTGAGAACATGTGGTGTTTGTTTTTTTGTCCTTGTGATAGTTTGCTGAGAATGATGGTTTCCAGCTTCATCCTTGTCCCTACAAAGGACATGAACTCATCATTTTTATGGCTGCATAGTATTCCATGGTGTATATGTGCCACATTTTCTTAATCCAGTCTATCATTGTTGGACATTTGGGTTGGTTCCAAGTCTTTGCTATTGTCAGTAGTGCCTCAATAAACTCCTTCTTTCTTTGCCTAGTTACACCTCAATGCAACCTCCTGGCAGGCCAGCCTTAAGCCCAGCAGTCCAACCATGCATCTAAGCTGAGTTCTCATCAGAGCCAACTTCAATTATAAACAACTGAGATGATGCCAGAGGCCAGAATCCCTGAGAACCCAATTTGCTGTCATCACCGCAGCTGAAACAAGGCGCTTGGCATCTAGAAAAGCTGATCTGTAGGAAATTTCCAATAGAGTTCAACTTTTTCTAAGTTTAAAGTGTACAATATCACCAAGGTGAGACACTCAAGATAAAACTAGGCTTGTGTTTAAATATAATAAAAATATTTGAAGAATAGTAAGAGTGGTGACTACTTTTACACAGGAATGTTTCAAATAAATTGTTTTTTTTCTTGTGCCTTTTAAATTTTGTGATTTGTCAATGAGATGCTGACATGTTTTTAATGAAGCATGCCTTGTAAAATAATAAGTGAATGAAAACTACACCGTAATATTTACATCAACAAAGCTAGAAGAAGACTGTATGTCTCAAGAGGCTCCATCATCTACCCAGTGGCCACTTCACCAAATTAAGATCCAAATACCAAAAAGAAAAGTAATTAAAATTTGTGTTGTATGCCTTATAAGACCAAACCTATAAAATGAGGGGAAACTTCACAATTACTTGTAATTTGCTCTGTGGAATTGTAACAGATGGATTATAAAGATGATTCCATGATAAACATCTAAATGTGGTTACTACCTTCTGTGCTTTCTTGGTTCATATTTTTATTGTTTTTTTTCTTTATAAACAGATAATTCATTCTTATCTATGGCAATGCAAACTTTTCAGATGTATTGAATATGTCATAGTTTTTTTCTATTGTAGGCATCTCTAAAAAAGTTATAGAAAACAAACAGAGAAAAGTCTGGTGTTGGAAAGGAGAGAGAAATAAAGCTTGTAAAGGAATGAAGATTAGAGCTTTCTGGAGATAAAAATTCTTAGAAGATACAAAAGCTAGTTACTGAATTAGATGAAGGTTCTTTTTCAGTTTTTCCCAGTTGTTCACCTCTTAGAAGGCACATATTCACAGCAGAAAAGAAAAAAAGTGTTAAAAAGAAAATACCTCGGTGTAGTGAGACTGTAATTTCATGAGGGCATTACTGAAGACTCACTTTTTCCAGCATCACTCAGCATGGTATTATGCACGTGTGTAATGTAAAGGAAAGTGAATACGCATTCTTGGATGGGTGATCAAATCGTAATTCCAGAATATAATCAGAAGCTGATTCATTATCCTCTTGAGATTTCACAATCTTTTCATCAGGAATTAAAATTCAGAAGAGGGTAAATGTATCTAATCAGTTGAAAGTTAAAAATTAGAGGATGGAGGCAACATGGCCGAATAGGAACAGCTCCAGTCTACAGCTGCCAGCGTGAGTGATGCAGAAGACAGGTGATATCTGCATTTCCAACTGAGGTACCAGGTTCATCTCACTGGGGAGTGCTGTACAGTGGGTGCAGCGCACCATGCATGAGCCAAAGCAGGGAAAGGCATCACCTCACCTGGGAAGCACTAGGGGTCAGGGAATTCCCTTTCCTAGTCAAAGAAAGGGGTGACAGATGGCACCTGGAAAATCAGGTCACTCCCACCCTAATACTGCGCTTTTCCAACAGGCTTATCAAATGGCACACCAGGAGATTGTATCCAGCACCTGGCTTGGAGGATCCTACACCCACGGAGCCTCGCTGTTTGCTAACACAGCAGTCTGAGATCAAACTGCAAGGTTACAGTGGGGCTGGGGGAGGGGCGCCCGCCATTGCTCAGGCTTGAGTAAGTAAACAAAGCAGCCAGGAAGTTCGAACTGGGTGGAGCCTAACACAGCTCAAGGAGGCCAGCCTGCCTCTGTAGGCTCCAACTCTGGGGGCAGGACACAGACAAACAAAAGACAGCAATACCCTCTGCAGACTTAAATATCCCTGTCTGACAGCTTTGAAGAGAGTAGTGGTTCTCCCAGCATGCAGCTTGAGATCTGAGAATGGGCAGACAGCCTCCTCAAGTGGGTTCCTGACCCCTGAGTAGCCTAACTGGGAGGCACCCCCCAGTAGAGGCAGACTGACATCTCACATGCCCGGGTACCCCTCTGAGTCAAAACTTCCAGAGGAATGATCAGGCAGCAGTATTTGCAGTTCACCAATATCCACTGTTCTGCAGCCACCGCTGCTGATACCCAGGCAAATAGTGTCTGGAGTAGACCTCCAGTAAACTCCAACAGACCTGCAGCTGAGGGTCCTGACTGTTAGAAGGAAAACTAACAAACAGAAAGGACATCCACACTAAAACCCCATCTGTATGTCACCATCATCAAGGACCAAAGGAAGATAAAACCACAAAGATGGGAAAAAACAGAGTAGAAAACCTGGAAACTCTAAAAATCAGAGTGCCTCTCCTCCTGCAAAGGAATGCAGCTCCTCACCAGCAATGGAACAAAGCTGGATGGAGTATGACTTTGACGAGTTGAGAGAGAAAGGCTTCAGAAGATCAAAGTACTCCGAGCTAAAGGAGGAAGTTCGAACCAGTGGCAAAGAAGTTAAAAACTTTGAAAAAAAATTAGACGAATGGATAACTAGAATAACAAATGCAGAGAAGTCCTTAAAGGACCTGATGGAACTGAAAACCATGGCACAAGAACTACATGACAAATGCATAAGCCTCAGTAACCGATGTGATCAACTGGAAGAAAGATTATCAGCGATGGAAAACGAAATGAATGAAATAAAGCATGAAGAGAAGTTTAGAGAAAAAGGAATAGAAGAAATGAACAAAGCCTCCAAGAAATATGGGACTATGTGAAAAGACCAAATGTATGTCTAATTGGTGTACCTGAAAGTGACGGGGAGAATGGGACCAAGTTGGAAAACACTCTGCAGGATATTATCCAGGAGAACTTCCCCAATCTAGTAAGGCAGGCCAACATACAAATTCAGGAAATACAGAGAATGCCACAAAGATACTCCTCGAGAAGAGCAACTCCAAGACACATAATTGTCAGATTCACCAAAGTTGAAATGAATGAAAAAATTTTAAAGGCAGCCAAGAGAAAGGTCAGGTTACCCACAAAAGGAAGCCCATCAGACAATCTGCTGATCTCTCCTCAGAAACTCTATAAGCCAGAAGAGAGTGGGGGCCAATATTCAACATTCTTAAAGAAAAGAATTTTCAACCCAGAATTTCATATTCAGCTAAACTAAGCTTCATAAGTGAAGGAGAAATAATATACTCCACAGACCAGCAAATGCTGAGAGAATTTGTCACCACCAGGCCTGCCCTAAAAGAGCTCCTGAAGGAAGCAATAAACATGGAAAGGAACAACTGGTACCAGCCACTGCAAAAACATGCCAAATTGTAAAGACCATCAAGGCTAGGAAGAAACTGCATCAACTAACGAGGAAAATAACCAGCTAACATCATAATGACAGGATCAAATTCACACATAACAATACTAACCTTCAATGTAAATGGGTTAAATGCTCCAATTAAAAGGCACAGACTGGCAAATTGGATAAAGAGTCAAGACCCATCAGTGTGCTGTATTCAGGAAACCCTTCTCACCTGCAGAGACACACATAGGCTAAAAATAAAGGGATGGAAGAAGATCTACCAAGCAAATGGAAAACAAAAAAAGGCAGGGGTTGCAATCCTAGTCTCTGATAAAACAGACTTTAAACCACCAAAGATCAAAAGAGACAAAGAAGGCCATTACATAATGGTAAAGGGATCAATTCAACAAGAACTAACTATCCTAAATATATATGCACACAATACAGAAGCACCCAGATTCATAAAGCAAGTACTTAGTGATCTACAAAGTGACTTAGACGCCCACAAAATAATAATGGGAGACTTTAACACCCCACTGTCAACATTAGACAGATCAACGAGACAGAAAGTTAACAAGGATATACAGGAATTGAACTCAGCTCTGCACCAAGCAGACCTAATAGACATCTACAGAACTCTCTATCCCAAATCAATGGAATATGTATTCTTTTCAGCACCACACCACACCTATTCCAAAATTGATCACATAGTTGGAAGTAAAGCACTCCTCAGCAAATGTAAAAGAACAGAAAGTATAACAAACTGTCTCTCAGACCACAGTGCAATCAAACTACAACTCAGGATTAAGAAACTCACTCGAAACCACTCAACTACATGGAGACTGAACAACCTGCTCCTGAATGACTACTGGGTACATAAGGAAATGAAGGCAGAAATAAAGATGTTCTTTGAAACCAACAAGAACAAAGACACAACATACCGGAATCTCTGGGACACATTCAAAGCAGTGTGAAGAGAGAAATTTACAACACTAAATGCCCACAAGAGAAAGCAGGAAAGAAATAAAATTGACATCTTAACATCACAATTAAAAGAACTAGAGAAGCAAGAGCAAACACATTCAAAAGCTAGCAGAAGGCAAGAAGTAACTAAGATCAGAGCAGAACTGAAGGAAATAGAGACACAAAAAACTCTTCAAAAAATCAATGAATACAGAAGCTGTTTTTTGAAAAGATCAACAAAATTGACAGACCACTAGCAAGACCAATAAAGAAGAAAAGAGAGAAGAATCAAATAGATGCAATAAAAATTGACAAAGGGGATATCACCACCGATCCCACAGAAATACAAACTACAATCAGAGACTATTATAAACACCTCTACACAAATAAACTAGAAAATCTAGAAGAAATGGATAAATTCCTTGACACATATACTCTCCCAAGACTAAACCAGGAAGAAGTTGAACCTCTGAATAGACAAATAACACTCTCTGAAATTGAGGAAATAATTAATAACTTACCAACCAAAAAAAGTCCAGGACCAGATGGATTCAAAGCCGAATTCTACCAGTGGTACAAGGAGGAGCTGGTACCATTCCTTCTGAAACTATTCCAATCAATAGAAAAAGAAGGAATCCTCCCTAACTCATTTTATGAGTCCAGCATCATCCTGATACCAAAGCCTGGCAGAGACAAAACAAAAAAAAGAGAATTTTAGACCAATATCCTTGATGAACATTGATGCAAAAATCCTCAATAAAATACTGGCAAACCGAATCCAGCAGCACATAAAAAAGCTTATCCACCATGATCAAGCGGGTTTCATCCCTGGGATGCAAGGCTGGTTCAACATATGAAAATCGGTAAATGTAATCCAGCGTATAAACAGGACCAAAGACAAAAACCACATGATTATCTCAATAAATGCAGAAAAGGCCTTTGACAAAATTCAGCAAACCTTCATGCTAAAAAATCTCAATAAATTAGGGATTGATAGGATGTATCTCAAAATAATAAGAGCTATCTATGACAAACCCACAGTCAATATCATACTGAATGGGCAAAAACTGGAAGCATTCCCTTTGAAAACTGGCACAAGACAGGGATGCCCTCTCTCACCACTCCTATTCAATATAGTGTTGGAAGTTCTGGCCAGGGCAATCAGGAAGGAGAAGGAAATAAAGGGCATTCAATTAGGAAAAGAGGAAGTCAAATTGTCCCTGTTTGCAGATGACATGACTGTGTATGTGGAAAACCCCATTGTCTCAGCCCAAAATCTCCTTAAGCTAATAAGCAACTTCAGCAATGTCTCAGGATACAAAATCAATGTGCAAAAATCACAAGCATTCTTATACACCAATAACAGACAAACAGAGAGCCAAATCATGAGTGAACTCCCATTCACAATTGCTTCAAAGAAAATAAAATACCTAGGAATATCACTTACAAGGGAAGTGAAGGACCTCTTCAAGGAGAACTACAAACCACTGCTCAATGAAATAAAAAAGGATACAAACAAATGGAAGAACATGCCATGCTCATGGGTAGGAAGAATCAATATCGTGAAAATGGCCATACTGCCCAAGGTAATTTATAGATTCAATTCCATCTCCATCAAGCTACCAATGACTTTCTTCACAGAATTGGAAAAAACTACTTAAAGTTCATATGGTACCAAAAAAGAGCCCACATTGCCAAGTCAATCCTAAACCAAAAGAACAAAGGTGGAGGCATCATGCTACCTGACTTCAAACTATACTACAAGGCTACAGTAACCAAAACAGCATAGTACTAGTACCAAAACAGAGATATAGACCAATGGAACAGGACAGAGCCCTCAGAAATAATGCCACTTATCTACAACTATCTGATCTTTGACAAACCTGACAAAAACAAGAACTAGGGAAAGGATACCCTATTTAATAAATGGTGCTGGGAAAACTGGCTAGCCATATGTAGAAAGCTGAAACTGGATCCCTTCCTTACACGTTATACAGAAATTAATTCACGATGGATTAAAGACTTACATGTTAGACCTAAAACCATAAAAACCCTAGAAGAAAAACCAGGCAATACCATTCAGGACATAAGCATGGGCAGAGACTTCATGTTTAAAACACCAAAAGCAATGGCAACAAAAGCCAAAATTGACAAATGGGATCTAATTAAACTAAGGAGGTTCTGCACAGCAAAAGAAACCACCATCAGAGTGAACAGGCCACCTACAGTATGGGAGAAAAGTTTTGCGACCTCCTCATCTGACAAAGGGCTAATATCCATAATCTACAATGAACTCAAACAAATTCACAAGAAAAAAACAAACAACCCCATCAAAATGTGGGCAAAGGAAATGAACAGACACTTCACAAAAGAAGACATTTTGCAGCCAAAAGACACATGAAAAAATGCTCATCATCACTGGCCATAAGAGAAATGCATATCAAAACCACAGTGAGATACCATCTCACACCAGTTAGAATGGCCATCATTAAAAACTCAGGAAACAACAGGTGCTGGAGAGGATGTGGAGAAATAGGAACACTTTTACACTGTTGGTGGGACTGTAAACTAGTTCAACCATTGTGGAACTCGGTGTGGTGATTCCTCAGGGATCTAGAACTAGAAATACCATTTGACCCAGCCATCCCATTGCTGAGTATATACCCAAAGGATTATAAATCATGCTGCTATAAAGACACAAGCACATGTATGTTTATGGTGACACTATTCACAATAGCAAAGACTTGGAGCCAACACAAATGTCCAACAATGATAGACTGGATTAAGAAAACGTGGCACATATAAAACATGGAATACCATGCAGCCATAAAAAATGTTGAGTTCATGTCCCTTTTAGGGACATGGATGAAGCTAGAAACCATCATTCTCAGCAAACTATTGCAAGGAAAAAAACCAAACACCACATGTTCTCACTCATAGGTGGGAATTGAACAACGAGAAAACATGGATGCAGGAAGGGGAACATCACACACTGGGGACAGTTGTGGGGTGGGGGGAGGGGGGAAGGATAGCATTAGGAGATATACCTAATGTTAAATGACGAGTTAATGGGTGCAGCACACCAACATGGCCCATGTATACATATCTAACAAACCTGCACGTTGTGCACATGTACCCTAAAACTTAAAATATAATAATAAAAAAAAATTAACAGGAGACTTTTATACAGATAAATTTGCTTTGCATCATGATCAGCACTAAAGAGCATCATAGATTTAAACCATATTTTCACAGTTAAAATAATGTAACCAAATATGCAATATATTATGTAACATTCTACAAGATGTTTTCAAACATGCAAACTGACCTTTAAAACAATTTTGCATAAAATAACATTTCTAGGTGAGAGAAAATACAGACATGTGGTTAGGGCAAAATATTTCTGTTCAAATTACAAAATACTGAATGACAAATCACAGGTTAGAAAAGAATTATATTGTACCTGGAATTTGAAGTCTTCAAATTTATTTAGATATATGTATCTATATGTATTAATAGAGACATATTTAACTGATTATAAGTTTAGAACATTTATATTTTAAAGATGTCATTCTTTAAAAATTATTAATATCTACAGGATTGCTGCAGATATTTTAATTTTAAACAAATATTTTTCACTAATATGACCAGTATTTATGTCCTATTTCATTAAACAGACATTTCAAGATTTTTTAGAGTTAATTTTTAAAAATTAAGTATCACAAATATTTCTGAAGTACTATCTTAAAAAATAAAACTCTTTCCTAGCTTTTCATATAGTTAAACATTTTCATAATGACTAAAAAGATAAAAATAAATTAACAACCATAATTAAATTAGAATTCTACTTTTTATATCAGATGAAATACTACATAAAATGTCCAGAAAATTTAGTGTTAATGAGGCTGTGCAGCCTGGACATTTGATGTCTCATCTGTGGGAATGTGAACTAACCCAACCATTCTGAATAATTATTGGCTCTGTGTGTTAACAGTCTAGAGTCCTGAAACAAGGATCTTAATTCTAAAATAAAATCCTATTCTAAGAATATACCAAGGGTTGATAATCAAGGAAGTTTCAAAGTTATAGAGAAGAACCTTCATCCTAGCATTATATATGTAATCATCCATATAAACAAGATAGTGTTGAATGAAATTACAGAAAAACAAAGAGCCTACAGAATATGTTTCTCTTTGTGTACAACAGTAAATGTACACATCTATCCATGTAAAATTTTACATCTCAGGAAGATAGGTACCAACATGTTAACATGCTATATCTATAAGATAAGAAATTTTACTTTCCTACAATTTCATACACACACACACACACACACACTCTCAAACACACATACCCACACACCGAGGATATATACACACAAATATATATATAAACATACATGTTTATATAGGTACACACACACATACATATACACAGATGGTCAACAAATTATAATGGTTCAATTTATGATTTTTTTTACTTTATGATGAAGCAAAAGTGATAGCTTTGAATAGAAGATAACCATTCTGCTTTTCACTTTCAGTACAATATTCAACAAATTACATAAAATATCCAATACTTTATTATAAAGTGGGTTTTGTATTCAATGATTTTGCCCAATTGTCAGCTGATGTAAGTGTCCTGAGCACATTAAATGTATGCCAGGCTAAGCTGTGATATTCAGTAAGTTAGGTATTAAATACATTTTTAACTTACTGTATTTTCAATTTATAATCAGCTTATCAAGACTTAACCCCATTGTACATTGAAAAGCATTTGTATTGCATTAAACATGTTATATATATTTTTAATTGAAATTACTGGCAACTTTTGAAAAAATGTAATGAAATAATGTGCTTTGCTATTGGTTAAAATGTTTTTGGGCAGGGTCAGTGGCTTACACCTGTAATCCCAGCACTTTGGTAGGCTGAGGTGGGCAGATCGCTTGAGGTCAGGAGTTTGAGACCAGCCTGGCAAACAGGGTGAAACCCCATCTCTACTAAAAATACAAAAATCATCTGAGTGTGGTGGCATGTGCCTGTAATCCCAGCTACTAGGGAGGCTGAGGTGTGAGAATTGCTTGAACTAGGCAAGCAGAGGTTGCAGTGAGCCAAGATCATGCCACTGCACTCCAGCCTGGGCAACAGAGTAAGATTCTGTCAAAAAAAAAAAAAAAAGAAGGAAAGAAAAGAAAAAAAAGTTTTTAGCTTCAAGTAACAGAATAGTCAACTAATTAAAGAAAAAAACAAGGAGCAACTTTTACCAAATCGCACAACAAATAGATGGTATCAATGCTTAGTTAATTCAACATGATCCACTTTGTGATTCTCTTATCTTTCTACCTATGTTTTCAAGATGGCTATGGCATTCCCAGCCTTACAACTTCATGTGACAAAATCCAATGGCAGGAAATAATAAGTGATGGCATTTTGGAACTTTAAGGAAAAACTTTAAGGATTGGAAAACAGGGATGCCGTATGTCCAGTAACATGGGATAGCCGTTCCTAATTAAGGATTGCTGTATGTCCTGAATGACTTTCTAATGTAATGAAGGTGAATAACCTGCTTTGTTTAATTATACAATCCCAAATGTAACTGCCTAAGTGCCAAGTACTTTTGCATGGTTTTAATATGCCATGAATTTTGCAAGAATGAAACTACTATGTATATGAGAAAAGATGATAGGTTTTTTCATTTAGATACTCATTTCAGAGTCTCAATAGGAAAAACAGAACACACTCAAACTAAGATAATTTAACATGGGTTTATTTCCAAAGAGACTACTTACGAAAATGTCAGGGGAGAAGGGTGAAGGAATCACAGAAATCACACCCCACAATAACTCTGGGTTAGTAGCAGCAGGCAGAGTTCTGGGGAGTAAACTTCCCTGATCACGCAAGGAAACACTAATTTTCTTATGAAAAAGATTGGTCAAGGAGACCTAGCAGAGAGGGAGTTTAGGCAATAACCCCCAATCCCATTTCCTCCTTCCCTTTAATCTCATGAACATGCATAGAAGGCAATGAGCAAGGGAACAGATTGAGATATTCAATATGGACCATTCCACTTGGACAAAAGCCAGTAAATAGGGGAGTATAACAGGGGACAAGGGCCAAACAGAAAGTATCTATTACATTTACCAATGCAGATCAATCATGTCAAAAACAGAAATGGCAGTTTTGGCATTTGGTTATTCAATGAAACTATATTTGTAGCTTTTTATTTACAATGTTTCAAGGTATGGGCGAAGATATGAAAATTTCATTATGTTCTATTGTATTTGATATGTAAATGTTCTGGCACAATTATATACATTTTGGATCATATATTGACAGTAAATTATTTCTCCTTTGTTAGCTTCAGCATAACATTAATATTTTCAACAACTTGAATGCATACATTGTGTTCTCACTAATAGTTTAGAATAATGAAGGGGTCTTTGAAGAATTTCTTATGAAGTAGAGGCATTGGGTCAGACAGAGCCGAAAACCATTGACTTAGATTAATCACTATTTATCCTAGGGCTGAAGAGGGCCAATTGAAGACACAAATGTCCAATCCCTCTATGACCTTGGAGTTCTATGAACCAGAGAAATAGAGACTGGTTCTTAAGGAGGTAATAAGTGTGCCTTCTATGGTTTATAATAACATGCATTGTCTTAACAATCGAATACTTAAAAGTTAGTGTCCTCATAATATGCAAAATTTTTAATAAGCACATTGGTCCCTGTGTTCAAGTAGTTGGTAATCAAATTAGCGAAGTATGGTAAGTCTTTTGAAGAGCATTAAACAGCAGAGAATGTAAGAAATTTGTCTCTATAATAGTGTGGGCCTTCTGTGTTTCCTAAGGGCACATTAATATGATCTAATAACTGAGCAGAGAGAAGCCTAAAGGATAGTTTTTGGTTTCATTTTTTTGTTTTTGCCAATTAACATACATTTCTAGATTAAAAGTCAACTATCTTTTCCTTGGGAGTCAACTATAGGAGAAGATAGTGAAGAGGCAAGGAAAATTACAGCAGCTCAACAGCTTTACCCTGGAAATATCTGTATTGTGTACCACTATAGCCTACCTTTATCAGTCAGATAACAATGTCAAAGAGGCAAGCTTGGCACCATTGGTCTTAGTGAATCCCTGCTGCCAGCCTTTTATCCTAAGTGCTCTCCAAAGACCCATTTAATGGACCTTCCTGAAATTGTGCTCAGGATCAATGTGAGGCTCATTGATACAGCATTTTTGGAAGTCACCATTTGCTTATTTCTTAAACCTGGGATAGTTGCCCGACTTCTATCATCTGAAATCCTCTCCATGACTTTCAAATTTACCAACATTGGTTCCAACATCATTCCTAGAAAACATTTCAGTGGAGTATATTTATCTGACATTTGACTGTATTTATAGCAGTAAGAATCTATGATGATTTCTCCCAAAATAATCCCACAATTACCCATTTTGGGTCACCTTTGAGGGTCTTATCCTTAATATCAGAAATCTGTTCTATACATTCGAGTCTTAGAAATAATTACTAGCTTCTCTCTGAATTTAACTGAAGTTCCTTACTTTTATTCAGCCTGTTACCTAAATTACATAATGTATTGAAGGCTAAAAACTGTCCAAATTTCTGATTACATTGAGTGAAAAATGGGAATATGACTTTCTTTTTCTAACTTGGCAAAGATTATGTTTTTTTCATGAAGAAATATAGGCATATTTAAACACTCAGGATCTGAGAATTTGAAATACATGAAACTTAGCAAGTGGTCTTTAAGTAGTTTTCATTTCTAAATTATATTACATACCATTGAATGCTACAGAAGGAAAGACAATGAGGGATTACTCATAAACATTGCCTTTATGATATCCTTCCAAAGAAAATCAAGTGTCCCTGTGCTTGGACTCATAAAGCAGAAATGCTTACCTTGCTTTTATGTCACTAACAAACAATTGTGCCTAGTCATTTAATTCTAACGCATTTAAGCCATCTAGAGAGTGGAGCCCCTAGGGAAAACTACAAATGGAAAATTCATTGATTTTTGATTTTGCTTTCCTATGGATTAAATTTAACACTTTCTTGTAAATCTCTCCCTTTACAGATCATATGTGATAAATAGTTATCCAACTTTCTAGATGTCCACCCAGAGCTGCTTCCATATGAAGAGGTGGAAACGGATTCTGTGCATGATACTGGTTAGGATCGGGAACTGTTTTTTTTTAAAGGAGATTTTTAAAATTTGTTTTCCTTGTACACATAGCCTTAATATTGTGTTGCTAACTGCCCTCTGGGAACAAAGTCATACCAATCACAAATACATTGCCTAAAGTGGGAGGGTTATTACTCTGCCGTGAATTCCATCTCCTATTATGTTTTAAAGATGCTACAAACTTGAGACATTACTATGTAGATGACATTCCCAGCAAATCCCCAAAGAACACTTAATGAGAATTCAAATACCAGGATCATGAAACAGTAAGAGATATAAGGAAATAAAGAAAAGCACAGTATATGTGTAGAAGGCATTAAAACACAAATTTTATAATTACGAATGCATATAATAAGGAACAAGTTTTATTCTAAATAGCAATTATATCAGAACTACGATACAGGGAATAAAAGTGAATATTAAGCCATTGTGCCAACAATAACAGAGCCCTTTTTCTGCTGCGTGATGGAATTTAGTGTTTACTAAGGAAGAAAAAAATGCAAGATATCTTAAATTTGGTACTTTCCAACAAATTTAAGAAATGTGTACACACTTGAGGAGACTTAAGAAGTCTCTGACTAAAACACTAGAAAAGAAAAGCAGTGAAAAGCCAAATAAGTATTACTCAACAATAACAACATTTGTTACTATTATATTAATATTAAACACACTATTAAGCAACAACATTTCAGTTACTCACTGAGCCCAAAGTCATTTTTCATGAACCATTCACAACACTGATAACCTATTGAAAAATGATTGAAAACAAAAAAGCTTATTTCTTTCCAAGTCCTTTTAAAGCCTTCTCATGTGTCATTTCATATAATCCTTATAACGAATCTATGGAGTATATACTGACTTTATCTCTGTACAGAAAAGAAAACTGAATCACATTCAGAATAAGTTGCAAAGTTCCCCAGATAATCAGTGTCATAGGTGAAATATGATGTCACAGTGTACTCAAGAGTAATTTAGGGAAGCAGTACAAATAATGGTTGAAAGCACAGGTTCTGGGGTAAATAGCCTGAAGTCAAAATCTAGTTCATATCCTCAGTGGCTGTGTGATCTTGGGAAATTTCCTTTAACTCTCTGTGTCTTGATTTTATAGTTTCATCCATTTTTGCCTCTCATATGATCTGGTGAGCGTTACACTAGTTTATGCTTCTAGGACACCGAAAACAGTACCTGGCTCTTGATAAATATTAACAATTTTGTTTCATTTTCTTCACCTTGAGTATTTCATGGCCAGATGGAAATCAATGTCAATATGAAAAAATGTTCATAATTCAGCAGGAAGAAATACAAAACCATATAAACAACTTTTTTTACTGGCAAGTGTATTTGGAAGCTATGTTAAATTGAGAAGGGGAAGGGAAAGCCTCTAAGGATATCGATTAATCAATGACTGAAAGCTCATGAGACTTGTCTGGAATTTTTTTTGGAGACTCTGAGACTTAAAATTTTGACAAAATAAGGAGATGAATTGAGTAGTGTGGAAGAGACATTTTCTGAAGTCAGCAGAGAAACGAGAGACAAATATGGTAAGGGGAAAATGGTATGAAGTAATAATATGAATGAAGTGCTTTCTAAAGTATAACACATGTAAGTTGTGTTAAATGTAAACTATCATGAATATATCATTACTGTCTGACTGATACAACCATATCCACCTCAGTTAGCCACATAAGATCAATTTTCCTATACCTTAGAGAATACCAGTAACCTCCAGTTCAGAAACAGCATAAATATCTATCCACAGCTGAGCAGACACATACAGCTAGCTACCAGATGAAATGGGCTATATCTTCAAATACTATTCTTTTCCCGTTTTTTAACTGTGGCAAAACACACTCAACAATTTGCATCTTAACCACTGTTAAGTATACAATTCAGTGTCATTAAATGTATTCACAATGTTGTGCAAGCATCACCACCACCCATCTCCATAATTCTTTTTGTCTTGTAAAATTGAAATCCTGTACCCATTAAAAAGTGACTCCCCATTCCCCGCCCTCCCAGGGCAACTACAGCTTTACTTTCTGTCTTGATGAATCATACAATATCAAATGGAATTTTTAAGATATTTAAAATCTTTTGTCTGGAAGCGAAGTGGAAGTTAATATCAATGGCTATGCCTTCAGTGAGTTCTCAGACCACATTGCAATGTAGTTAACTATTTATCTTTTATTACGTTCTAGACCTATTATTTCTTTCTGGCACAAAAATATCTTCTTTGTAGATTATGGCATTTACCTCTATCTCCACACCTTTCTGCGTCTGTCATCCACAGATCATCAGCCTCTTGCTTAGTCTCCATTTAATGACAATTTCTATTTAGTATACAAGAGTCCTTCCCCCTGCAATGCAATTTCTTCACTCTGAAAAACTCTGACTCTGGCTACTGGTCTCTGTTATGTACTCATCCCTAGAGCCATGTCTTCAAATATTTCTCAGAACTTCTTCACATCTAAAAATCTAGGATTAATTTATTGCTCTCTGATTATATTCTTCTGGTATTTCAAGTATCCTGTATAACTTCTTCATCTGCCCTTGCTTTTCTTCTACATCAAGATGTCAAGTTCATGGACTTCCCAATTAATCATTTTAAAAATTTATTTCAAGCCTTTATGAGTCACTACAATGTACATATGTTCTCAGGAATTATGGCCCTACAATTTGTATGTGAGAATAGTTCCTGTGTCAGGCATTATGGACATAAGAGTAAATAAATTCTAGCCCCTGCCTACAAGGAGCTAATTCCCAGCCTAAGACAGATTGCAAGCCAATAATATGCAGAGTTGTAAGACTAAGGAAACTGATTGGGATGTACCTAATTCGAGCTGGGAATATCAGAAGAAAAACTTTTTGAAAGTCATGAGACATGAGCTGTGCCTAAAAGAATAAAAAATAGAGTGAGAAATAAGAATAAATAAATTAGGGAATGAGATGGGTATAATAGTAGAAAAAGGAAATCTCCTTAGATAAAACAGGTTATGAGAGTATATAGGAGGCTTATTAACTCAGTGTGGTTGGAGAAAACAGGTTGAAAGGAGAAATAGGGGAGAAAGTTACAAAGGAAATCAAATGTGTTAGTAGTTGAGGGAAAAGCAAATATTGAATACGACCCATAGATCTTGGATAACCCAGTGTCTGGTAGTAGCTTACATAAAAGGTTGTGACAAAATAACCAGAGATATGTGGAGAAAATAATAACTGAGTGTTATATTTCCTCTCAGTAGAAACCTAAAAAAAAAAAATTTAATTACACCCTGATCTTTTAACTGACCTCCACTTATCTTGCTGCCTGGATTGGTATACATATTCCTCTGCCTGAAAAATTGCTCAACACTTTTGAAAGGTTGTTTCTCACTGTTACACCCAGGCATTTCTGCTAACACCAGCTGAGTTGTAAGGGGCCCTCCAGGAGGCCTAGGTTGTTCTCCTTATCACATATATTATTTTCATTTATCAATTTACCCAGAACATCTAATGAAATATATGGACACCAATAACATGAATACAAATATAGCTATAGACCCTAAAAAGTAAATTGATGTCTCTTGAAAGACTGTCATGTCTTAGATGCTAAATTTGGAGTATGTGTTTCTAATAAATACATAGCTTGCTTTAATAATTCTGATTTATGAATGTAATATAGGGGAGCAGCTTTTATTTCATCCTTAATTTTAAAAAACAATTAGCTGGGTGTGGTGGCGGGCACCTGTAGTCCCAGCTACTCAGGAGGCTGAAGCAGAAGGATGGTGTGCACCTGGGAGGCGGAGCTTGCCGTAAGCCAAAATTGTGCCACTGCACTCCAGCCTGAGTGACAGTGTGAGACTCTGTCTCAAAAAAAAAAAAAAAAAGATCATACAAGGAGTAAATGATGATTTAGCATAAAACACAACGTGAGCCTAAAACACAGATCATAGGGCTCAAACTTTGTTATTTTATGGGATTATACTAACCAGTTAATATTCAAAATTTACCATTTCAAAAGAAGAAATATTGGTCTGGGAAAATTGCCATTGCTTATACAGAAGAATGGAGGAATCTTTTTGAGAACAACTATTCTAATGATCTTCCTCATCACTGGTTCCAAAACCAAGCCCATGGAAGGCCTGCATAGGGATAATGTGGAGAACATGCAAAAGAAATACACATCACCAGCTCCTCAACTCAGAGCTCCAAGGGAATGGCCAAGGAAGCTGTATTGTCCTAAGAAATTTGAGACTGTTTTGACTTACAATAAATCCTGCTCAATCATATGTATGTATACACACACACACACACACACACACACACACAGACGGTGTTGTCAGTGAAGCCTCTAACATTGCATCTTGACTGGACAGATTTGACAATTAAAATGGCTGGAAGAAAATAGGCTTCATAAGTGTCACTTACTATTCACATTACACATTAAAAGGACATCTCCTAAATTAAATCTTGTCTATGATAAAAAGGCAGAAAATCATGACCCAAGGCTCATTTATAACTGCAGAAATGTTCAAGATAGACCAATGCTTGCTATGTTTAGGAAGTGACAAGAAAGTACAGGTCTTTATAATCTACCATTTTGCCCCTTTTGATACCAGGTGACCTTCATAATGCAGGCTATAGAGAATTGCAAGATTTGTCAGAGATTTCAGGTCTTTGGAAAGCTATGCTCTTTCACAAGAACAGCCATGGAAACAGGAAGAAAGTCAATTCCCACTTAAGGTAATCAGAATTTACAAATATTCCTTTCTTCATTGAAATCTCAATAGGCACTTTGATATTATATTTAATTAATTCTTTTGTTACAATCATGCATCACATAACAACATTTTGGTCAAGGATAGTGCACTTGTATGACAGTGGTGCAATAAAATCATAACACTGTATTTGTACTGTACCTCTTGTATGTTTAGACACGTATAGATACACTTACTGTGTAGATATAAGTAAGTATAGATATACTTAACTGTTGTGTTACAATTGCCTACAGTATTCAGTACAGGAACATGCTGCACAGGTTTGTAGCCTAGGAGGAATAGGCTATACCACCTAACCTAGGTATGTAATCAGCTATAGCATCTAGATTTGTGTAAGTAAACTCTGTGATGTTCATACAATAATAAAATTGTCCAGCAATGCATTTCTCAGACACAACCCTGTCATTAAGTGACACATGACTGTATTAGTTAACACTATGGGAACTTCATGGGAAATGGACACTCTAGCTCCACCATAAATAGAAATTGTTTATGTCAAAAAACACATAAAAGCAGAGTTGCAAGATTACAATTCCTTCCAGATATTTCATTTAGTATCTCCACAGATCACTAACTTCCTGAATAGCATTCTTGTGTCTCCACTGCCTCACATTTGATTTCAGGTCATTCCATCAATTGTCAAAGACGCATCCAACATTAACTTTCCAACTACTGGTTTGGATTGTGTCAACATTGTCATTCTGGGCCACAACAACACAAAAGGCTAACTCAGTGAGGTAACATAGACACTGATCAGTGAGATTTTGCTGAATGGGTGGTACCATTTTTTACCAAGATCAAGGGTATTCATACCTTCAGGCATCTATATAACATTGAAAAGGGCAGGTTCATAGATAAAAAGGGAAAGAGGAAGGGTTTTTGCAGTATATATGAGCTACCATGTCTCCTGTTTAACCTGAGTCTGAAGAGATTCAAAGTGCAGGTGCCATGAATGCCTCTTTAATAGCTCCATGTCGATTGATTTTCTGGGCTACACTTCAAGCATTCAAATTGCTAAATGCATATAAACTACTAGTGAATATTTATTACCTGGATTTGTGCTTTTGAGTGACCTTATCTATAGTTACGTGCTTCAGTGATCCAACTTGGGGTGCACTCCAAACTTTGATAAATTAAAGACCCTGGGTATTCCTTGAGTAATGCTACACTGACAACTGATTTAGTGAATGCCACTGTGAAAATAATAAACCTCTTGGTGAATATATTTAGACATGTCTTGTAACCTGTACACATCTTAACCAGGGATGTTACTTGGTCTTTTTATGTTCAGGAGTGTCTGGAGATAGAAAAACATACAGGATTGTAATTGTTGCCTGTGAGGCTAACAGGAAATTCAAGCTAGTGAAGTATGCTTATGCATGGCACACTTCTCACCAGCAATTTTAGGAAGTTCTACCCACAACCCATATGTCTTTTGATATGTGGGTTACCTTGGAGAGAGAAAAAGAAACTCTGAACACAAGCATGAAATACTTTCGAATTTTATCTAGAGTTGGACTTGTCCAAAAGCTTTTGTATAAACTTGCTTGATGAGCAACTGTTGTCCACTGGTACCTTCACCGTGCAATCCACACACAACCAAACTTCACAACTGGACACCTAAATTTGCACTTTGTTTGGTAAAGTTGAATGAAAAATGTTGTCTTTTAAGCTTATGTTCTCTTATGAAAGCTGTTATTAGATTAATTTTACTCCAAGATATGCCAGTTAGGAAATAACTTCCCATTTAATTTCACCAGCTCCCTGTGGGTGGACTAATTACTCACACATCACACTTACTCTGGTGGTGAAATGCCTCAGAAGAAGGTCTCCAGAGTGTTGCTTTACCTAGAATGACAAGAATGAAGAGACATAAAAATCATTCATTAAGAAGGAAGAAGATTTTCCTTGCCTAGGTTTTCACTTGTAGGATCCAATTAATTTTATTACTTAATATTTTATCCTGGTGGGCATTCACTTTACAAATTTGTAAGGTCAGTAGAAATGGAAACTTTTGGAAATCAAACTGTAAATGTTCTGTAGACGTTGACAGAAATAGCTATTTGGAGCTGTGCTTTTGCCAACTAGACACTCTGAGAAAATCTGTGAGAGGATATTTTCAGGAAGTCATTGAACCCCCTAAAAATCAAGTTTATTGCTTTTACCATAAATATAAATAATTTATTTATTATCAACCACTTTCAATATTCCAATAAGTAACTTTGTTGTTTATTTCATTGACATGATCTACATAGACATACAATTTATCTTCTTTTGCGATACATTCAGAAAATTTGCTGCCTGGAAAAGCCATGTTTTGAAATTACCACCTGTTTGATGATTTTTTTTTTTATACTCTAAGTTTTAGGGTACATGTGCACAACGTGCAGTTTAGTTACATATGTATACATGTGCCATGTTGGTGTGCTGCACCCATTAACTCGTCATTTAGCATTAGGTATATCTCCTAATGCTATCCCTACCCACTCCCCCCACCCCACAACAGGCCCTGGTGTGTGATGTTCCCCTTCCTGTGTGCATGTGTTCTCATTGTTCAATTCCCACCTATGAGTGAGAACATGCAGTGTTTCATTTCCACTTAAGTATCTATCTCTATTTGTCCTTTATTTTCACTTCCATCCTAGCTCTGTCCCTTGTCTCCTTCGTGTGTCTCAGGATAAGTGCCCTATAACATTTTATATTTCTGGAAACCCTTCAATATAAAGTTATTACATGTAAAAATAAAAAGTCTGTTTTAGCGAACTCTTTCTTCACAAATTATCTTTTCCTAGTTCCCTATTAGACAATTTTTGTAGGCTCCATATGCTATTAATTTATATTCACTTTTAGAAGAATTTTCATCAAAAGCAAAAGTCTTATGTAAATTGTTTATATGCTATTTGTACTTCTGTGTATATATACACGCATAGCCACATACATATATGTAACTCCGGAGGCCTGCCTGGACTGTTAAATAACTGTATTGAACAAGAGCAAGAAAAAGCTGTTCAAATTTCAAACAACAAGTTGAACTGAAGAGCTCACATCTTTGAATGAAATAGACACTAGTAGCCTTTAAAAATTAAACATTTCTACTGTTTTAAAAAATTATAGCCATCATAGTATGAGGAAAAAATGTAATAATCCTTTTTAATTCTTGCCATTTTATTAACCATGGAGTCCTTATGCCCTGACTTCATTGGTACCCCTTTGAGATTAAACAGAACAATTAATTTAAAATTCTGATAAATAAATAAATTACACCATTTACTTGAGGTACTCTTTCACCTTTCAAGTAATATTTTGATAATTTATTAGCTAAATATTGCTATAATGCAGGCTAGTAATAAATGGAAATAATGATTTCATTGTAAAGTTTAAACTAATGATGGTATGATCTGGAATTTTTGTTAACCTAGAAGACATAATTAGCTCTACAGGTGAAATGAAAGACAAAATCACTTCACATATTAGTAAAAAACAAATAATATAACTTTATAAGCTACTGCTGTTCTTTTGCTGTTAAGAACCAATGACATCTGTAATTAGGGAAGATTATGGAAAGGTTAAAGGTGAGAATACATGCAGTCTATATACAGGAAACCCAAACTGTTTAGGTTAAGGAAATGTCTGCAAAAGTCATATTAATTAGCAGGTTCACAGGAAACTAATATTTATTGTATAAATTCCATGGTCAAATGTATTAGGGCTCCACACACACAACTGTGCACCATCTATGTTACCACACAGTGCTTACTTCTTTCAGTCTTTATTCATTTCTCTCCTAATGGTCTGTATGGTATTATTACATAGTTCTAAAAACCTTCCATGAGGCAGAAATTTCATTTAATGATACAGCTTCAAAAATAATGAAAAACAGTAGAAACTTTCTATTTTTTTATGAAGCAGAATTATTGAATTTTCAGTTTCATTTATTTAATGGTATAAGAGGACAAACATATTTCTTTAATTCCTTCTTGTTATTTTTGTCTAACATCAACCAAAGCCATTTCTTTCATTTGAAGGTGAAAACTGCTCATCAAAATCCAGTTTAAGCTGAGAAACAAAGAACTAAATTTTGCATGAGACATTATACACTGTATAAATATAAAACAGGACCAGAAACAATGGTGGATTAGCAATTTTTAAAAAGACAAAAGCAGGTTATCATCAAATCAATTGTTACCAACACACCAACGCCACCTCTAGGCCAGAAAATTAGCCACTTACCCACGGGAAAACAATGATTGAAGACAAAGTTCACCAGTGAAAGTTGGTTATTTTTTTCCATCCTTGCATCAACTAAAATGATATCTACAGTTCCTCTTAACACTTTTCTTACTTTCAAATATGTGGGTATGCTTCATTAGCTGAGGCCATGTTCCATATGTACATCTGGCTACAAGGGAAACTGGGAATGTGAGCACTGATCCTAATGTTTGTAGAGTATTTAGAAGTTTGAGAATTCCCTCCAAATAAAGAGTTTTCTAAAACATTGTTAGACAAAAAGTTTGAATTACAAAATATGGTAGTAGCTCAGGTCTAACCCAAATGCAGGGAAAAAACTATTAACTCTAAAAAAATTAAATACACATTTGATGGTAATGAGAAACAGAAAACAGGCAGAAATAGTAGAATACTCCACTAATGATGAAGTATTTGACAATTGAATAAAGAAAATTGCAATGATTTAAATTTGCATCAATGCAACTTCACACCTGATGATGCTTCCCAGTCTGTGCAAAATTAGATGTCTACGAGTAAAGCGGTGAGTTTTACTAGCTTGAGGAATAAGAGCACAGAGTTCCAGGCTGACAGAAAAGAGGAACTGGGAAATTTGAATGACATGGGAGGAAATCTCACACAACTGAAAGTCACAGAGGAGAATATCACAGAGTAAAAATCTAAAATCAGCACTTCAACTTCATTCAGATATATGATGGCTGCTACATTTCACATTCATAAAAGGAGACTCCATAGAATCCAGCAGAAAACAACAGCTAAATTGCTAGTACAGAGCAGAGATTTCAACCATTGCATATAGCTCAGGAGTGAAAGTTTGGTGTTTGACTACGGAAAGAAGACTAATGTTAGAAAAGAGTCATTCTTCAAAGGAAAATAAACGAACCTATCTCTACAAAATATCATACACATAATCTAACATATAATTTAACCTGCCTAGACATAGAACCAGGAAAATATGACACATAACAAAAAAAGTAAACAATGGATTAAGACATTGAAATGGCCCACATGCTGGAATTAGAATATAAGAAATTTAAAATAAGCTATTATAAGCATATTCAAGGATTTAAGGAATAGATGGTCATAAGAGGGAATATATGGAGAATCTCAACAGAGAAGTAAAAATGATAAAGAGATAATAGGACAAATTTTAGAACTGAGAGACAGAATATCTTATATAAAAATGTCATTTTATGTACATACCAGTAAATTAAAGATGGCACAAAAAATTATCAGTGCACTTAAAAACAGATCAAGAACAATTTCCCAATACAGTTAATACAAAGGAAGAAAAATAATAAAAATAGGGCCAGTCTAGCACTAATATAATTGGAGTCCTAGAAAGAGTAGAGAAGTAAATGAGACAGAAAAAGCTATTTGAAAAAGTAAAGACCAAAAGTTTTCCTAATTGTCAGCATATATCAACTTACAGGTTTAAGAAACTCAAAGAACAGAATAAAAATAAAGAGAACCAAATGTAGACATACCATAGTCAAACCACTGGGCAAAAAAAAGAGTAAATCTTGAAAGTAGCTAAAGGGAGGGAGAAAATAATTTACATCCGTGGAAACAAATAGACAGATGACCTGTCATCAGAAATGACACTTTAAAAAGCAATGAAACTACATCTTCAAAAGAAAACTGTCAACTCCAAATTCTATAACTAGATAAAGTAATTCTTGAGAAAAGAAAGATTTATTCAGATAAAAGAAAGCTTCAAACAATTGTCATTAGCAGACCTAGATACAAGAAATGCAAACGGAAATTTTTTAGGCTAAAGAAAGATAACAACAGATGGAAATTCTGACCTACAGGAAGCAAGGAGAAGGTCTAGGAATG
Organism: Homo sapiens; assembly: GCF_000001405.40. Taxonomy (NCBI): domain Eukaryota; kingdom Metazoa; phylum Chordata; class Mammalia; order Primates; family Hominidae; genus Homo; species Homo sapiens. Next base: position 31,062 of record NT_187498.1, read on the forward strand.
GCATGTGCATAAACGTGAAAAACTAAGGCTTTTTTTTTTAGTTTTATAACAAACAACTGATGCTTTGAATAAAAAATTAAGTGTACTATTGATAATGTGTAAAATATTCTAAATTAATAGCTCTGACAGGAGACTAAACGCAACAATTTTGCCGCAACTTTTCTTTATGTTACATGAAAACGCTGACTATTAACACTAAGTGGACTGCGATAAGCCCAGGATGTTTATTATAATCCCTAGAGAACCACCACATTATATGAAGATATTCTTCTAAAATGCCAATAAAGGAATTAAAATGGAACGCTGAATATTGTTCAGTTAATATAAAAAGGCATGAAAGAAAGAGGAGCAAAAAATGATGGAGCAAATAGAACATAAGAGCAAAATAGGCTGGGCGCAGTGGCTCAGCCTGTAATCCCAGCACTTTGGGAGGCCGAGGCGGGTGGATCACGAGGTCAGGAGATCGAAACCATCCTGGCTAACACGGTGAAACTCCGTCTCTACTAAAAATACAAAAATTAGCCAGGCATGGCGGCGGGCGCCTGTAGTACCAGCTACTCCGGATGCTGAGGCAGGAAAATGGCGTGAACCCGGGAGGCAGAGCTTGCAGTGAGCCGAGATCCCGCCACTGCACTCCAGCCTGGGTGACAGGGCCAGACTCCGTCTCAAAAAAAAAAAAAAGCAAAAATAGTAGGCTTAAATCCAACCTTTTCAGTAATTATTTCAAATGTAATTTAAATACTCCAAATAAAACACAGATTGTCCAACTGGATAATAAAAATACCTATAAGAGATGCATGCCAAATATTATGGTATAGATAAGTTGAGAGTAAAATAATTTCCAAGTATACCAAGGAAAAAACAAGGACAAGAAATCTTATGTGGCTATATTAATATAAGAAAAAGTAGACCTCCAAACGAGCAATATTACAACAGACAGCTATTTCATAATGATAAAATGTCAAGTAATTATGAAGACATAATGCTGTATTGCTGACAGAATAACTAAAGAAAATTAAGATAAAATAATTTTGACAACAGCTTGACCTAATCGATATTGACCAAGACAATAGAATATATGTTCTATTATGCTACACATAAAACATTTATCAATAGGCTATAGACCACAAAATATCTCTCAAGAAGTTTCAAAACACTGTAATCATGGAAAGTATGCTTTCTGACCATAATGAAAATGAGTTGAAATGGGTAAAAACAAGCTACCCAGGAAAGTCTACACTATTGGAAGATTTAAATACACCTTAAAATGCCCTTTAGCTCAATGAAGAAATCATAAGAAACACCTTTAAATACATTGAACTGAATACAAATAAAATATACTATATCAAAATGTATGGGATAAAGTTAAGCAGACCCAGAGTAAATTTTTTGTATAAATGCTTATTCTAGAAAAGAGAAGTTCAAAACAAGTGAACTAATTTTCTACCTTAAAAAGAAAATCTAAAAAAGAGAGCAAATTAAGTCCAAAACAAGTAGAGGAAAGGAAATAAAACAGAAATTAGAAATCAATGAGACAGAAAACAGAAACAGGAGAAAATCAACATGGCCAAAAGTTAGTTCTGTGAGAAAGAAAGAAAACGCAAATTATACATATCAGGGATTAATGAGATTGTACAGTTGTAGACACAAGAGACATTAACAAGATAATGGAATATTGTGAAACATTATATACAAATTTTCATTACTTGGATGAAAGGGTGACTTCCTTGAAAAAAACTTATAAAAAATTTCACAAGATTTAATGGAACATATGAAGTAATTGACATTTATTAAAGTAATTAAATTAATTGTAAAATACCTGCACATAAAAACATAAAATTAAATAAATAAAAAAATAAGCAAACCCCAGATCTAAAGAATTTCACTGGTGAATTCTTTCAAACGTTTAAAAAAAATAAATTTTTTAAATTATTTCAGAAATAAAGAAGGGGGAAATTCCAAACTTGTGTTATGAGTCAGAATCCTGATACCAAAATTACAAAACCTAGGAATGCAAAATTGACTTCAACTTAAAGAGCTATCACCATTCTAATCTGTGATTCTAATGAATTTGGCTATCTTAGATACTTTATACAAGTGGAATCATACAGTTTGTCCTTCTGTGACTGATTTACTTTACTTAGCATTAATGTCCTCTAGGTTCATCCATGTTGCATATTGCCGGGCTTTCTTGTTTTAAAGCTGAATAATATTCCGTTGTATGAATATACCACGTTTTCTTTATCTTTTCATCTGCCAATAGACATTAACCTTATTTCCACATTTTAATTAGTGTAAATAATGCTGCAATGAGCCTGAGAATCATCCCAATCTCCATTCTTTCAGATAAATAACCTGAAGTGAGACTACTAGATCATATGGTAGTTCTACTTTCTTAATTTTTTTGAGGAACCTCTGTACTGTTTTCCATAGAGGCTGCACAGTTTTACTTTCCCAGAAACACTGTAGAAGTGTTCCAATTTCTCCCCATTGTTAACACTCGTTATCTTTTTCTTTTAATAAGACCATTCTAAAGGGCTTGAGGCAATATCTCTTTGTGGTTTTGATTTGCATTTCCCTGATTAGTGATGCTGAGCATTTTTTTCATGTATCTGTTGGTCATGTGGATATTTTCTTTGGAGATATATCTATTGCTGATTTAAAAAAAAAAACTCTCAGCAAGCTAGATAAAGAAATTTTCTCGAAGTGATGGAAAGCATCCACAACAAAACATATAAACAATACTATATTTAATGGTGAAAGTGTAAATGTTTAAACCACATAGATTAGGACAAGAAAGGGATGTGTGTGTTCATCACCTCTATTCAACATTGTACTGGTGATCCTAGATTTTGAGTATAAATATTTAGGGGACAACTATTGTCACTGAAGCCCAAATCTTGGTCATCCTCAGAAAAAAAAAAAGTTGATTAGGTTGTATATAATCTAATTCTACTTGCTAATTTAATTTCTCTAAAATTGCAGTTTGTATCAACTCTAGAATTTATTAGGCACCTCCTAGGACATAAACACTGGAATTTGGTGAGAGACGTCAAATAGGAAAGAACCTGGCTCTGACATAAATTCAACACACGGAGGGGGACACATGTTATGAGACTGACCTGGCCTCTCCATCTCATAAAAGGGGTTCTTGTTGCTGGTAACACAAATTAAAACTATTTCAATTACATTCAAGATAAAAAGATTAGCAATGGTATGTAAGATGAAAAAATCACCCCGCAGGAAGACGAAAGTCTCACAAAAGGATATTTAAGCTAGCCAACACTTTGAAATTCAGACAGAGATCGTGCTTTCTGGGTGAACTAAAGTAGCAAGAACAAAGTAGAGGCTCCAATTCTAGGAAAAATGGGCCCTAATAAGGTTTACAATCCAGAAACTCAAGATATCCAGACAGAAGGATGCAGTCTCCGCTTTCAAGGCAGCAGCAGTACCTGGATTACTAAGCCAATCCCCAACACAATCATAAACACAAATTTGATTGAGGAAGAAGCTTGCCCACCAGAAGATTTAGGTTATTACAAGGTAGAATGTGATAGAGAAAATGAGCATGGGACTGGAAAGAAAAGGAGGTAGCCCCATGATTACAACTGGAATATATCTGTCAGCAATGGTGCGGAAATAAGACTGAAGAGAGAGATCCTTAAACCCCAAGTGCCTTACATCAGGACTAATCCTGGACACAGGCTGGAAAGCATAGCCTACAGGTGGTGAGGGAGGAGGAGTGGGCTCAGCTGTGAGAAGGAGAAGGAAATATGGCTGAAAACCAGATAGGGGTCTTGAAATCACACAGAGGATTTGGGCCTTTGCTGCTGTCTGCCAGCAGCTGCCAGTAGTTCTCACACTTTGGCTGGCAATAAAATCACCTGGGGCAGTGGTGCGGAAGCGGGGGGAGTGTTGTAAAACCACAAGTGTCCAGGCAAAAAACACCTGTATGTTTTCCAATTCAGTAAGTACAGAAATATTAATTGGAAAAAGGTGGAGGTCAGACATTCATAGTGCTGTGGACTGCTCCAGGGACGTAAGCATGATCTTTAGAGAGGTGACTCTAATCAGTTGAGGGCAACCACTGGACAGAAAGAGGTCCAGACCAACCGTACACAGAGACATCATACAACTACACTTTAGCAACCTCTCCAAATAACATGTCTCTTAGTGAAACTTGGGAGGTTGAAAGTTAAAAACATAAAATCCAGTGGCATTTATGTATCCTAGGCCCTTACATTTGTCTGATTCTTCCAACTTGCCTTTGCTTGGTTAGAGTTTTGGGTAGATAAGAGGTGGATTTACATGTGCTAGTGTGAGAACTTTGATACACTCATTTAGACATTGACCTACTATCTTGATGTTTGAAAGCTAAAACCCAAAGAAATTTGTCTTTTTACATAAAACAAATTCAGCCCTTGCCTTCCTTGTAGATTACATCTTCCACTAGCAGTAATAAAAAAATAACAATATGCATAAGTCAAAGTATCTTCTTAGATCCTCTGTAGTGTTTTATTATTTAGTTGTGTTAATTAAAGTAACTGTCTCAAAATTTCAAGGAATGCCTGAGAAGCAATTCATGTTCAAAGGCTGCCCTCTTGTGACAATGTGTTGTATGCTTTACTGTAAAAGTAACCTTATTTTACCTTATAACCTCTACAATCCAATTCATAACAGCATAAAAAGGAAACAAAACCTTACATAATTTTGAATTTTAAAAAGTACCTTGTTTATATGGCTCCTTTAGCTAATGAATAGTCAATTTGGTAAATATTCCAGTGAGTTGAAGGTTTGAATCTATCTCACTTAACTAGCTTGATGAATGTATTTCTAAACCTATACAACCCACTCCTCTGCTTTTAAAAAATTAAAGTTAGCTGTAGATTGAGATGTCAGTGACACAGTTTATAGAACATAACTTAGATTGTCATCTACATTACTGTAACTACAAATACCACCCTCAGATGGAAGAATCAGTTTTATCAGTGAACATCTCTAATTGAACTATAAATGGTGTATGTCTTCTGGCTTTTACAAGCTCTTGGTCTAACAAAGGGGATATATGATGTAAAAATTACAAAGCAAGGTCACTCACGGTGGCTCATGCCTGTAATCCCAGCACTTTGGGAGGCCAAGGCGGGTGGATCACAAGGTCAGGGGATCGAGATCATCCTGGCTAATATGGTGAAACCCCATCTCTACTAAAAATACAAAAATTAGCTAGGTGTGGTGACACACGCCTGTAGTCCCAGCTACTCAGTAGGCTGAAGCAGGAGAATCGCTTGAACCCAGGACGCGGAGGTGGCAGTGAGCCGAGATCGCACCACTGCACTCCAGCCTGGTGGCAGAACAAGACTCCATCTCAAAAATAAATAAATAAATAAATAAATAAATAAATAATAAAATAGCAGTGACTATAATGTTTTGTGATGTTAAACTTTGAGAGCTTTTTTTTTCTTTCTTTTCCCAAGTGCCTTTCCCAGTTCCAGGAGCAGAGTTATTCTAAGCTCACTGATGTAAAGGAATAGAACGAAAAGGTTTGTTGGAAAACCTAATAACCTGCTATCTTTCTGTCTTTTGTTTTTTAAAAGCTTGAGCATTTGGGAGAATTTGGAAAGATTGTGGAGTAAGTGCAAAGAAGGAATTTGCGAACAAAAATCATATAGGGTAAAATGAGTTTTTTCCAGGTTAGAAAATATCCACTCTCTACCCTCCTACATTCCTTTCCCATGGTTAAGAAGAGGAAAAAACAAAGGCCTCTTGGTGAGCAGTGGTGACTTAGGCAGTTTCTTAGAAATATTCTAGAAGGCATAGTCATCTTTTAAAAAAAATAGCTACAAGGATATGTCTAAGCAGAAGGGTCCATGGGCCAAATTACGTGTAGATTTTTGCATTCCAAATATGGTAAAGAAGAAGCAGGAAGCTGGGGCTCCTAAACAGGTCACACAGAAATGGACAAGGAAGAGGCCAGCAGCAGCTTGTGGGGACAAGATGTCAAGCCCCAAATGTTAAACCCACCAACCATCCTCCAAATTCTGGCTCTGTTTAACAAGGCTGTGGTCTGACACTACATGCCGCCTCAGTGACTAAAGCATAATTTCCCGTCTCCTGGGAGTGTTGACAGCTGACTCCTGGCAACAATACTCACAGCACAGTAAAGTTCCTTCATCCAAGTTCATGTCCCTTCTCAAGGCATCCCACATCCGAGAACTGCTTGGTACAGAAATATAATAGCCTGGTTCTCTTGCTCCAATTCGAGGTCATTAGGTAAACTCACCAAGACCCTTGTAGAGTGGACTGCGGCCATGATAGTGATTGCATTCCAGCCGACTTCCTGCTCCACCCAATCCTATTGCTTTCACTCTTCCACAGGTGTTGGGAATATCACTTCAACCTCCTTGCATGCAAATCTCCAACTCGGAGTCGGCTTCCTAGGACACCTGACTGGTGATATCTCTATCACTATCACAGTACTTAGAGGGGAGCATCTTAAAATGATTTAAGGCTAACTGCCCTAACAGCACAGGCAGATGGTGGCTTAAAATACAATTTAAGTGGATTTAAAAAAACATGAAAAAAGTTGACATTGCACGCTCATATGAGCTTATGGATCAAACCATGTGTATGATTTCAAAGATCCCTCGTGCAGTATATATTTGCACTGTTTATAAATAACATCCCCTTGAATTGAATTCAGTGCAATTCAAAACAGTAATTTGTGGGAAAAATTAGATATGCAGATAGCCTGGACTCCAGAGAGGCACACATCATTTGGAGAATAACAGTGAACCGACTGGTCTATGAGGGAAGAAAACAGAGTGAATATAGACTATTAGTGAACAAGGATATTTTCCCATGTATATTCAAATTAAGGTGAACTTCTTTAGAGAATTGTGCCTTAGAAAGAAAAACTATTTCCCTATATTTGAGTCCTCACAAGTTTTCCTACGATGAGTGCTTTTGTGATTATTTTGAATAACAAAGTAATATTTAAAGAAATTCTCTTGCCCTGAATGTACTTTATGTCAATTGATGTTGCATATAGAGAGCATCAGAGTCAAGCCACAAGAAAAGGAGGAACATAACTTAGCAAAGACTTAGAGGATTAGTCCTAATAGTGTGAAATCAAAAGTTCAAGTGAGGGAATAAATGCAGCTTTTAATGATTACTTAAATGAAGTTTAACTCTGGCAGGATCTACAAGAAATTGGCAACCTTTGGCTTCAGTAACAGAAACTCAGGATATATGCCCTTCAGTGCTTTTGGATTCTGCGTCATATTGAGAGAGACTCCTTTAAACAAGCAATAAGAAACTTCCTGTGACAACATAATAAATTCAAAAAGTTCTGTAACTCAGACAATTTAGATAGAAGTGAGGACTTTGGCCTAGACATCCCTGTTCACTCTAAAGATGGATTAAACAAGGAAAAAGATATTGATATCAAAAATTCAATCAGGAATTTGATTAAAGCATTTCATTAAATGTGATAATTTCTTAGTATATTATCTTACATATGCAATATTCATGTGTAACAAATTAAATACAAGTAAACATTTGAGCATATTATCTGCAGCATAATTTACATATCAATTTACATATTCAGTTTTGCTCACATGAAAACTTCGATCTTCTCAATAAGAAAACTTGTGAAATCTTTAATTCCTCATCCACAAGAATGTAAATAAATAAATATAAATATTGTAAGTCAGTGATTTTTTCCTAGGAAGACAATAAAAATACTTTACACGCCTTCTCATTGTAAACCTAAATAACAAATAGAGAAAGGCTCTCTAAAGGAAAAAGACACATCTTAGGGAGGAGGGCACTGCAATGGGAATATGCATGACAAAGCAAACTGTGTAGATTCAAATGGTAAAGGAAGACAAGGTCTTTAAAAGAAAAGCGATCAACCTGGAATTATGGGGGAGTAGAAAAAAATAAATAAAGGAAAAATGAAGAGGCTTATATAATTGTTTTGTTATAGTTATCTTTGACTATAAAGATCAACAACAAGGTCGATGTCAGTTGAAGTTTGGGCAGGTGGTTGCTGGACAGATGTCCTCACAGAAGTGTATTTTGTGTAAGGTTGCTATGGCCTTTGTGCAAGGTTGTGGATTTTGTGGTATTTTGTGATAGTTTGTATCAGGCCTAGAAGCACGAGAACCCTCTCTTCAAGGCCTTCTCTGAATCTATTTGTCCAGGTTTTTTCTTTTCTTTTTAAACATTAGTGACAGTTTTGATTCTGATAACTTTTATATCATGATCCCTAATTTCAAAAAAAAAATTAAATGTGTAACTTATTTATGATGTATTTGATAGGCTTGGATTTATGAATCACCTCTACTGTCTATAGTGGTAGATATATCTGAGCCTGCTTACACAGCACTTCCATCAGATTCTCTCTTCAGTGGAATTGGAAGAGGGGGTTTTGGAGAAGGGAATGAAGGAATTGTGCTGCATCAGAGGTCCCCACCTAACAGCACAGGGACTTTTTCTGTGCTCTTGCCAGGCCGTTGTATTAGGCTGATACAAAAGTAATTTTGGTTTTGTCATTGAAAGTAATGAGATCATCTGACTTACAATGTCTGTGCGGTAACCAGCTCCTAATAGCCTCCTAGGACAGCTTTGCCCTGACATACACTGTCCTGGAACCACGTCTGCTTTGTAACTCCTGAGGTAGCTGCCACCATGACCAATGCCTTCTCATCTTTACTCTACATGCAGGTAACAGTTATAATTATATCTCTCTGTATTCACAGAACATTTAGTACATCTGGGACTTCTACAAAATTTCCCTAGCTGATTTTGGTGTTCTAGTGTCCTGGTAGCTCTAGCCATGAAGGGATGATGCTTTATCAGAATTTCTGTTGAGTTTTTTGCTTTTCCTCACAAACTGATTCCACTTTTCCCACATACATTTGACAATTCATTTGAACTCATTTATTCTAAACCCATTATTTTTTGTCTATTATTTAATAGGGAGGGGGGCGAGGGATAAAAGATAACAAATAAGGTGCAGTGTACACTGTTCGGGTGATGGGTGCACCCAAATCTCACAAATAACCAGTAAAGAAGTTATTCATGGAACCACATACCACCATACCCCAATAACCTATGGGAAAAAAAATAAAAAATACAATAAAAAAGAGTCAGAAAAAAAGGAAATAATCACTGTACTTACCATGACACTTAGAAAGGTGGTTAACATTATTTGTGTCACCTAATAATATTATTATTTTTTCTTTATGCTACAAACTAGCTCTGCTATTACAATCACTACTATTTGAAGTGTTACTAAATTAAATTAAATTTATTGTATCCTTCTGGACTCAGAAATGGGGGTAAATGCTAAGACAATTTCAGAATATGATCACATATTAAAGGCATATTATATGGGGAAAATGTGATTTTTAAAAAATAGAAATTGGTAGAGAAACAGTTTTTGGGTCTCTTTAATTTCCGCAATTTTGCAAGTTTGGACGCTGACTTTCTTGTTCCAAATGATTGTTTTCAAGAATGTTTGTATAGAAAACAGCCTTGGAATAGAAAGCCAGTACCTCCTTCTGGAACAAAGGAAAAGTTTATTTACTGTCTAGTATAATGCAGATAATTTCTCCCTCTTGGGAAGGGTACAGCCAAGTGAACTTCCCATAATACAAGTTGGGGTTTCTTGAGCTTGGGTTTTTCTTCCACAGTGTAATGTGCAGGTGCCACTTGGCTCTCTTTGTGTTATCCTGGGAAAGCTGATGGCTGTAGGTGCATGTTTATTTTGGGGTTCTCTATTGTGTTTCATTGGTCTTTGTATCTGTTTTCATATCGCTACCATGCTATTTTGTCTATTGTGGCCTTAGGGTATAGTATGAAGTCAAGTAATGTGATGTCTCCAGCTTTGTTCTTCTTGCTTAGGTTTCCTTTGGTTGTCTGGGTTCTTTAAAAATCCATATGAAATTTAGAATATTTTTTTTTTCTAATTCTGTGAAAAACGACATTGGTTGTTTCATAGGAATAATGTTGAAGGTGTAGATTGCTTTTGGCAGTATAGCCATTTTAACAATATTGATCATTCTAATCCATGAGCATGGAATAGTTTTCCATTTGCTTTGTCATCTATGATTTCTTTCTGCAGTGTTTTGTAGTTCTCCTTTTAGATATCCTTTACCTCCTTGCTTAGACATATTCTTCTTTTATTTTATTTTATTTTGGGGGTTGCTGTTGTAAACAGGATTGCACTCTTGATTTACCTCTCAGTTTAAACATTTTTGGTGTACAGAAATGCTACTTCTTTCTATATGTTGATTTTTTTAATCCTGAAAGTTTGCTGAAGATTTTTTTAATCAGTTCTAGGAGCCTTTTGGCACAGTCTTTATGGATTTCTAGGTGTAGAATCATATCATCAGTGAAGAGAGATAATTTGTCTTCATTTCCTATTTGGATGCCTTTTATCGCTTTCTCATGCCTGATTGCTCTGGCTAGGACTTGTTAAACAGGAGTGGTGAGAACAGGCATCCCTATTTTATTCCTGTTCATAAGGGGAATGTGTTGGGAGAAAAGCTGAGTGTTGGAAGAGAAGCTGAGGCAGGGCCATATGTTTCTCATTCACTTGATACACCGTTTCTTTTCAACCCTTAAATCCTCACCACCTGTTTGTTTGAGCACCAACAAATAGCGTAGGCTCCCAGAGCTTGGGGACTTTGCAGACTCCACACTCATGATGGTCTCCTGGTCCCACTTTCTCTCTCAAACTGTCTTTTTCTCATTCCTTTGACTCTGCCGGACTTCATCACCCCCATGACCTAGTGTTGGGTCTGATCAACCCAACATTCCTGGCACCCAACATGGGGTGACAAAGACCCGGTGAAGTAAGGCTGGAGCATGTGAAAGCAGAGGACACAACATCAAAAGACACCCGAGGACATACAAAGATGGGGAATGAAATTTAGTACTTAGAATTTGTTATCACTCTTTAGTACAGTAAAGCAGTTTTGCCCATGGTTTCCACAACAAAGGACTATGAAGTTGGATGAATGGGAGAGAATTGGAAGAGATTTTTTAAAAGGCATATAAAGATGGAGCAGAAATTCCAGGTTCTGTATGGTCAGTGTGGGCACTAATAAAGGCAGCCCTTGAGCCATTTCAAACAGATGATGAGGCAGACTCAGATGAGGAAGAGGAGGATGAGTGTAAAAAACTAACTTCAAATTCTGAGTGTGGGGAGCAGCTACCAGAGGAGATTAAAGAAAAGAAAGAAAAACTTTTAAAAGTATGTTTTACTAGCCCGTTGGCTCCACCTGCCGAATTAAGTGAATGACCACCTCCTCTCTCTCCTCTAAATGGGTGAGAAAATAAATTGGCTGAAAAACTTACTGCTCCTGTAGTTACAACATTAAAATCTGGAGCAATTGGTGGTGGTAGACAAAATTCTATTCAAAAAGCTAAAGCCAAGGGAGACCTTGAAGCATGGCAATTTCCCGTTACTATAATCCAGCAAGTAGGACAGAATATAGCTAATTAGGCTGCTTTCTCTTTTAAGTTACTAAAGAATTTAAGCAAGCCATTAGTCAATATGGACTGAACTCTCTTTTTGTGCAAACTTTATTTAAAAATATGGCTCTTGATAATAGATTACTACCATATAATTAGGATACTTTGACAAAACCTGTTCTCACTCCATCTCAGTACTTGCAGTTTAAAACTTGGTAGGCTGATGAAGCTCAAACTCAGGCAAAAGAAAACACACAAGTGCAGCCACCTGTGCCTGTTTTCTTTGATCAGTTAATATGAGTTGGCCCTAACTGGGGTTGATTAGAGAATCAAGCACTAATGGAAGAAGTTGCCATTGTTCAGCTGTGCTTCATGTGCTTACATGCATAGAAAAGGATAAATGTTACAGGGGAAAAGTATCCTTATTTCAGTTCTGTCTGACAAGGACCTAAAGAACCATATGTTAATTTTATTGCTCAGCTCCAAGAGGCTGTGTATAAAGCCGTAAATGATCAAAACAGCTCAGGATGTTGTAATACAGCTTCTTGCATACAATGATGCTAATACACAGTGTCAAACTGCTATTAGATCCCAGAGAGGGCCCATTTAACTAAATATATTAAGGCTTGCGATGGCATTGGAGATAACTTACATAAGGTTATTCTTTTAGCTCAGGCTGTGGCTAGATTAAGAGTAAGGAAAAAATATGCTTCATTTCTCAGGCTCTTTCCTTAATTGTGGGCAAATTGGACACAAGAAAGGAATGTAGAAAGGAATTCAAAAGACGAAAACTACTACCATCAATCAACAGAAAAGTCCCAATGTACGTCCCTGGTGTAAGAAAGACAATCACTAGGCAAGTCCGTGTCATTCTAAATTTAGCAAAGATGGACAACCTCTTTCAGGAAATAGGAAGGGGGACCCGCCTCAAGCCTCTCAACAAACTGAGGCAAACCCAGCACAGCCACTGCCCTTACAAATGTATAGCAATTGTCCCCCGCCTCAGCAAGCAGTGCTGCTGTAGACCTCTACAGCACAATTCCCATCTCCTTACTTCCTGGGGAGCCACCAAAGAAGGTCCCCACAGGAGTTAGGGCACCCTTACCCAGAAGAACTGTTGGGAACAATCCTCCCCAAATCCGGCCATAAACTGGCCCCAAAACTGGCCATAAACAAAATCTCTGCAGCACTGTGACATGTTCATGATGGCCATAACACCCACGCTGGAAGGTTGTGGGTTTACTGGAATGAGGACAAGGAATACCTGGCCCGTCCAGGGTGGAAAACCACTTAAAGGCATTCTTAAGCCACAAACAATAGTATGAATGATCTGTGCCTTAAGATTAAGGGATACTTTTAGTTAATCTAATATCTATAGAAACAATGCTAATGACTGGCTTGCTGTTAATAAATACGTGGGTAAATCTCTGTTCAGGGCTCTGCTCTGAAGGCTGTAAGACCCCCCACCCCGATTTCCCACTTCACACCTCTATATTTCTGTGTGTGTGTCTTTAATTCCTCTAGTGCTGCTGGGTTAGGGTTTCTCCAACAGACCTGGTCTCAGCAAGTGGTGCCCATACATGGGGACTCGAATACAGGTCAAAGGATCACTGGAGCAACGATTGGAGAATGTGGAACTAGCTGGAGGACACCCGAGTACTCTTAAAGCAATCCCCGTGGTGAGTTAGAAGGGGAGCTCTGAAGCATCAGGGTAGCAATAGGACAAGTGTGGGCTGTGGTTCGTTCTACCTTGGAACTTTTTCACACTGATGATGAGGAGAAAGGAGAGTATAACAAAGTAACAGTAGAGGTTACAGACCAGGTTTATTTGTCACCTAAAGCTAAAGCATAAAAGGAGGGAGAGGTTCATCCCTACCCTTCTGCACACCGTCATTATTATTTTGAAGAAAACGACCCTCCAGATCTTTCTTTTCTGGAGGACACTGGGTGAAAAGTAGTTGCCCTGGTGACTGTTCGAGCAGCGCCTTGAGCGACTGCTCTTAGTTCTATTCAGGCAGGAATACAGCAAGCTAGACAAAAGTGGGATTTAGAGGCTTGGCAGTTCCCTGTTTGAATACACTCCCCAGATCAACAGGGAAATATTATAGCTACATTTGAGCCTTTTCCTTTTAAATTACTCAAAAAATTTAAACAAGCTATAAATCAGTTTGGACCAGGTTCTCCTTTTGAAATGGGACTGTTAAAGAATGTTGCTGTTTCCAGTCGGATGATTCCTACTGACTGGGACACTCTTACTCGAGCTTGTCTAACTCCTGCTCAGTTCTTACAGTTTAAAACTTAGTAGGCAGATGAAGCTTCCATTCAGGCTGCTCGCAATTCCTGGGCCCAACCTCAGATTAATATAACTGCAGACCAACTTTTGGGGGTTGGTGGCTGGGCTGGTTTACATGCACTAGTGGTCATGCAGGATGATGCCATAGAACAGCTTAGAGGAGTGTGCATTAGAGCTTGGAAAAAATCACTTCATGTGGAGAACAATACCCTTCCTTTAGTGCTATAAAACAGGGACCAAGAGAACCATATGTGGATTTTATAGCTTGGTTACAGGAGTCTCTTAAAAAGATGATTGCAGATTTGGCTGCTTAGGATATAGTGTTGCAGTTATTGGTTTTGACAATGCTAATCCTTATTGCCAGGCTGCTCTGTGACCTATCAGAGGGAAAGCACATTTAGTTGATTATAACAAGGACTGTGATGATATCAGAGATAATCTACATAAAGCTACTTTGTTGGCACAGGCGATGGCAGGACTGAGAGTGGATAAAGGAAATACTCTATTTCCTGGAGCTTGTTTTAACTGTGGGAAGCGTGGTCATACTAAAAATAATGTAAAAAAAAAATCACCGAGTCAGGCCACCAGATAGGGGAAAAAGAAAACTGCTGACCCTGAAATATGTCCAAAATGTAAAAAAGGAAATTTTGGGCTAATCAGTGTCACTCTAAGTTTGATAAAGATTTGAACCCGATTTTGGGAAACTCCCTGAGGGGCCCATCCCAGGCCCTGTTCTAAACCAGGGCATTTCCAGCTCAGGCCATTCCCTCACCCCCATACGTTATCTGTCCCCCACCACAGCCCATAGTGCTGCAGTAGATTTTTGCTGCACAATAGCTGTGAGCCTTCTGCCTGGGGAACCCTCGCAAAAGGTCCCAACAGGAGTCTGTGGACCGTTGCCAGCAGGGACAATGGGATTACTTTTAGGAAGGTCTAGTTTAAGTTTAAAAGGGGTACAAATATACACTGGAGTCATTGATTCAGATTACAATGAGGAAATTCAAATTGTGATATTTAGTTCTGTTCCCTGGAAAGCACAGCCAGGAGTGCGCATAGCACAGCTCCTGAGTGAGCCGTATGTGGGAATGGGAAAAAGTGAAATTAAATGAACTGGAGGATTTGGAAGCACAAATAAAAAAGGCAAGGCAGCTTATTGGGTAAATCAAATTACTGATAAACATCCTATCTGTGAAATAACTATCCAGGGAAAGAACTTTAAAGGTTTGGTAGATACTATTTTTTTTTGGTAGGAGTGGACATTTCAATTTTTTCTCTATAGCACTGGCCGTCCATGTGGCCAATTCAGCCTACTCAATTTAACACAGTGGAAACTGCTAAAGCTTTAGAAGTGTATCAAAGTAGCTATACTTTGCATTGTGAAGGGCCCGATGGACAACCTGGGACTGTTCAACCAATTGCAACTTCTGTACCTATAAATTAACGGGGGAGAGATTTATTATGACAATGGGGAGCACAAGTTCTAATTCCATAACAATTACACAGCCCTCAAAATCAACATATGATGCACGAAATGGGGCATGTCCCTGGTATAGGAGTAGAAAAAAAATTGCAAGGTTTGAAAGAACTGCTTCAAACGGAAAGACAAAGTTCCTGCCAAAGATTAGGATACCATTTTTGATGGTGGCCATAGTTAAGCCTCCAGAACCTATACCTTTAAAATGGTTAACAGATAAGCCAATTTGGATAGAATAATGGCTGCTAAGCAAAGAGAAACTGGATGCTTTAGAGAAATTAGTTACTGAACAATTAGAAAATGGGCACATAGCTCCAACATTTTCCCCTTGGAATTCTCCAGTTTTCATAATTAAGAAAAAATCAGGTAAATGGAGAATGTTAACTGACTTAAGAGCCATCAATTCAGTTATACAACCTATGGAAACATAACAGCCAGGATTGCCTTCTCCTACTATAATTCCAAAAAATTGGCCTTTAATAGTCACAGATTTAAAAGACTGTTTCTTTACTACCCTTTTAGCTGAGCTAGACTGTGAACCGTTTGCATTTACAATTCCTGCAGTAAACAACCTGCAGCCTGCTAAGCGTTTTCATTGTTTCACAGATGGGTCTAGTAATGGTAAAGCTTCTTATTCTGGATCAAAAGGTAAAGTTTTCCAGACACCCTATACTTTAGCTCAAAAGGCAGAGCTTGTAGCTGTAATTGAGGTATTGACTGCTTTTGATATGCCTGGTAATGTGATTTCTGATTCTTCATACATGGGTCATTCCACACAGTTAATTGAAAATGCTCAGTTAAGATTTCATACAGATGAACAACTGATAATAAAAACAAAAAAGGGGGAGAAACAGGGATTACGGGATAGCCCATACACAATTGAATCTTGCATTATTAACTTTCAAATTTTTGAGCCTGCCCAAAGGCCAGATGTTACCAGCAGCTGAACAGCATCTACAGAAACCAGCTGCAAAGACAGAAGCAGAACAACTGGTTTGGTGGAGAGATCCAATAACAAAAAGTTGGGAAATAGGTAAAATTATAACTTGGCATAGAGGTTATGCTTGTGTTTCTCCAGGACTGAATCAACAACTGATTTAGATACCATCAAGACACCTGAAATTTTATCATGAGCCAGATGCTGAGGAAGAGATAAAAAGCACAATCATCATTGAAATTAGAGCTTCTGGCTGGGCGCGGTGGCTCACGCCTGTAATCCCAGCACTCTGGGAGGCCGAGGTGGGCGGATCACAAGGTCAGGAGATCGAGACCATCCTGGCTAACACGGTGAAACCCCGTCTCTACTAAAAATACAAAAAATTAGCTGGGTGAGGTGGCGGGCGCCTATAGTCCCAGCTACTCAGGAGGCTGAGGCAGGAGAATGGCATGAAACTGGGAGTCAAAACTTCAGGTTTTGCCAAGAATGACACTGTAAATGTAACAAAGCTTCTGTGCTTGTTAGCGAACACCAAATCAGCTACTCTCCTGTATTCGGAGATCAGGATGAAATGAAAAGAACAAGCAGGCCGGGCGTGGTGGCTCATGCCTGTAGTGCCAACACTTTGGGAGGCTTAGGTGTGCGGATCACCCGAGGTTGGGAGTTTGAGACCAGCCTGACCAACATGGAGAAACCCCGTCTCTACTAAAAATGCAAAATGAGCTGGGCATGGTGGCACAAGCTTGTAATCCCAGTTTGGGAGGCTGAGACAGGATAAGTGCTTAAACCTGAGAGGTGGAGGTTGCAGTGAAGCAATATTGCACCATTGCACTCCAGCCTGGGCAACAAGAGTGAAACTCCATCTCAACAAAAATAAAAAATAAAAAAAGACCCCCAGCCTTGTCTAGACTGTGGGGTTTCAGTTTCACCCCAGGGGGGTCCTGGTTGGGTTAGAACCCTGAATCTTGTTTGAGTTCGTATCCTAAAGAATAAAGGGAATAAAGGCTGTAGCCACTGAGATACTCAATCTGGTCTGGTTCTGGCTTTTGTGTGTCTGTCTGTATTTTTGGTCTAAATATTTGGCCCAACAGAGGTTAAAGGCTTTGATGTTCTCAGCAAAAGCCTTGTGAGAGCTCTAGTTTATCTGTGTGCTCAACTGGAACAAAGAGACTCCATAAACTAGAAAAACCTAAAGAAAATGGCACGCGTGAAAAAATGAGAGCCAACTCCTGTTGGTTGTTCTGTCCACCTCCCTCTCTCACTCCTCCTTCTGCCTTTGCTGTGGTCCCATGGTGTTTCTGTCTTTCTGGGGACCTGAGATTCAGTGTAGGAGTGAAGTCCATGATTTTAAAGCCTTCATGTCTCTGCTTTTTAACTCTGCCTGCTTTGCTGAGCTCTTATAATGAGAAATAAACCATTCAGAACAGAAAAAACAGGGCATCAGAAAACCAACTTCAGGCAGAGCTCCGGCAAGTACCTCCCTAGAGGGGAAGGGCTTACTAAAGGAGATTTAATCTTGAAAAGGCCAAAATGAGAAGCTCTAACCTTAAGCTTGCTAGGTTTTCTGGGACTCGAGCTGGCTATATATTATGGACCATTCTAGCCACACACATACACACACACACACACACACACACAAACAGACACACTTTTTTGAGACAGAGTCTTGCTCTGTTGCCCACGCTGGAGTGCAGTGGTGTGATCTTGGCTCACTGCAACCTCCACTTCCCAGGTTCGAGCAATTCTCCTGTCTCAGCCTCCTGAGTAGCTGCGATTACAGGTGTGCGCCACCATACCCAGCTAATTTTTGTGGTTTTAGTAGAGATGAGGTTTCACCATGTTGGCCAGGCTGGTCTCAAACTCCTGATCTCAAGTGATCCACCTGCCTTGGCCTCCCAAACTGCTGGGATTACAGGCATGAGCCACTGTGCCCAGCCTATACATACATATATATATATATATATATATATATACTTTTTTTTCCTTTTCTTTTTGACGTAGTGTCTTGCTCTGTTGCCCAGGATGGAGTATGGTGGTACAATCGCGGCTCACTGCAACCTCTGCCTCCCAGGTTTGAGTGATTATCCTGCCTCAGCCTCCTGAATAGCTGGGACTACAGGTGCACACCACCACACCCAGTTAATTTTTGTATTTTCAGTAGAGATAGGGTTTTGTCACGTTGGCCAGGCTGGTCTCAAACTCCTGGCCTCAAGTGACCCACCTGCCTCAGCCTCCCATAGTGTTGGGATTACACGCACACTTTAAACCTGATGGCCAAATTACATGAAAGAAAATTCAGAACTCAAATAGTTACTATTTTTAAAAACCCTAAAATGAAAAATTCTCAGTTCTTTTGCCTATCTATTTTTTTTCCCTGCCTACTTTGAATCTGCTGATTTGTCTACTGGTGTTGAGATAAGACTTACTGTCTGTGGTGTTACCAATTCAAGGTTATTTGGCTGAAGAAAAACAAAAGAATGAAACAATTCTTTATTTTTTTTTCTCTTTTTGAGATAAGGTCTCACTCTAAGGTCTCACTCTGTTCCCCAGACTGGAGTGTAGTAGTGGGATCATAGCTCACTGTTATCTCAAACTCCCAGGCTCAAGCAATCCTCCTGCCTCATCCTCTCTAGTAGTTGGTACAATAGGCATGCACTACCATGCCTGGCAATTTTTTATCTGATTCTTAGTAGAGATTAGGTCTCACTATGTTGCCCAGGCTGGTCTCAAACTCCTGAGCTCAAGTGATCCTCTTGCCTCAGCCTCTCAAAGTGCTGGGATACAGGCATGAACCATTGTGCCCAGATAAAAGAGAGTTCTTTTATAAATACAAATAATTTAAAAAGTATTGATAAAATAAAAATAGAAATGTCTTCAGAATTGTCGGCATACATTTTTGACTGTGTTTTATATTTACATTTGCTAGATATTTTAAGGTGCTAGGGTTTGGCATGAAGGTTATAAAACTATAAACACAGAAAAAAAGAATATTTGTTTATGTGATTTTTTAAATACATAAGACCAATTTAATACGGTTTGTTGAACAAAAATAATGGAATTTTCTGAGTTATTGGTAAAATACACATGTATTTAACTTTGAAGTCCTCACTTACATGAACACCTGATATTCACAGGCTATAACATGGTTAACAAGAAAAAAACCTAGAAATGATGACTAGCTTTGTCTAATACCTCAGTTCTCACAAATACTCTAGATAAACTGTCAAAAATAAGTAAATGTAAATGGATAAATGTCTATACAAGACATCTTAATGTATTTTTGAAATTTTTTTGAGACAGTGTCTCTGTCTGTCACCCAGGCTGAAGTGCAGTGGCATGATCACAGCTCACTGCAACCTTGACCTCCTGTGCTCAAGGGATCCTCCCACCTCAGCCTCCCAAGTAGCTGTTAATTACAGGCATGCACCACCATGGTCAGCTAACTTTTATTTTTTTTGTAGAGTCAGCATCTCACTATTTTGCTCAGGCTGGTCTCATGATACTCCTGCCTTGGCCTCCTAAAGTGTTGGGATTACAGGTGTGAGCCACCATGCCCAGCCTATTTTTGAAATTTTAGTTATGTTAAATTAAATAATAGATACTCATTAAATATCTGGGTTATTTCCAATTTAAAACTTATGTTTTAGCCCAGGCACTGTGGCTCACGCCTGTAATCCCTGCACTTTGGGAGGCCAAGGTTGGTGGCTCACCCGAGGTCAGGAGCTCAAGAACAGCCTGATCAACATAGTGAAACCCCATCTCTACTAAAAAATACAAAAAATTAGCCAGGTGTGATGGTGGGTTCCTGTAATCCCAGCTACTTGGGAGGCTGAGGCAGGAGAATTGCTTGAACCTGGGGGACGGAGGTTGCAGTGAGCTGAGATAACACCATTGCACTCCAGCCTGGGCAACAAGAGCGAAAATCCATCTTAAAAAATATGTTTTAGGAACACATAATTCTAAATTATGAAATTATTCTCATATGTAAGATACTGCTATATGACAATTCAAGATTTCTTGCTTCCTAGGTTTTTTCTTAAAATAAGGGTTACTAAGTGTTAATATCTTGCTAGATATATGTGATTAAGACTACTAGATACAAGAGAAACAATTCTATATGCAAAATGTATACCGGTTTTTGTTTCAGAAAAAGTAAATTCGCTTAGAGATTTTTAAGGATTTTTTTAAATTGAAGGAATAAAAAAGATAGATAAAACTAAATGTGTATAAAAAGTTGGGAAAGATGAAAAAATTATACAAGGTTATTAAAAGTTTATGTAAATCTTACATCGAGGTCAAAACTGATTGAGATCAGATAGATTGTTTATAAAGTTTATTTAAATTAGCTGTAATATTAAAAACATAGTGATAAAAAACTAAAAATTTTGGTTAAAACAACAAGGTTTTCTTAAGGTATTTATTTGCTCATAATAAGAGGTAATAAATATTGACTTTTAATCCTGAAATCTGTTACTATAAAAACTTTTCAGATTTGTATATCAGAAGTTCAACTTTTCCTGTACTTTCATGTTACACATGACTCACAGATCACATCATTGTCTCCTGTTCCTTCTTGAGAAGGAATAAAAGGTTTGGGTTTCCTGCTTGGCTGCGATGATAACTCCTTCAGATTTTTCATCAGGTCTAATTTTGTACTCTTAGCTTTTAAATATGTCTTAATTACTTCATGTAACCAGGAAACTTCCATGCTATCATTGTGAGCTATGGATCCCCACTGCTCTATGCTCTGGTTTTCCTGTTTACATTCCTTTGTAATATTATGCTCACTCATGACCCTGGACACACTCTTTCTATGTCTAATTAAATTCAAGTCTCCTTATCATCGGAATTGACTTCCAAGTGATTTAAATTAGCTTCCCGTAAGAAGACACAGTTATGCCACAGGAGTTTTACCCTTTAAATGACTGGCCTGTAATAAAGATTTTAGGTTTTATCAAGATAATCCATGTGTTGCCTTTATTTTTTTTTAATTACTTGGGAAAACTGAGGGTTTTCAGTTTTCACATCCATGTAACCTTCTATGTTGCTTTTGATGTCTTTTGGTTGTCATGCTAATTAAATGAATGACTGTTATTTAAAAATGACATGTGGCTGTGTGCAGCGGCTCATGTCTGTAATTCCAGCCCTTTGGGAGGCCAAGGTGGGTGGATCACTTGAGCCCAGGAGTTCAAGTCCAGCCTGGGCAAAATGGCAAAACCCCATCTCTACTAAAAATACAAAAGCTAGCTAGGTGTGGTAGCAAGTGCTCATAGTCCTGGCTACTTGGGAGACTAAGGTGGAGGATCACCTGAGCCTGGGAGGTTGAGGCTGCATTGAGCCATGATTTCACCACTGCACTCCAGCCTGGGCAATAGGGTGAGACCCTGTCTCAAATATATAATAAAATAAAAAACAATAAACTGTCATTCTGTTTTAGTCAAATGTTTTCAATTTTTTTACATCTTTGCTAAAATTTAGTTGATAACTTTGTATGGGAAGCATTGCCAAAAGATAAGTCTAAATCTTCTTTTTTTTTTCTCTGAGACAGAATCTTGCTTTGTCACCCAGGCTGGAGTGCAGTGGTGTGATCTAGGTTCACTGCAACCTCTGCCCCAAGGTTCAAGCGATTCTCCTGCCTCAACCTCCCAAGTAGCTGGGACTACAGACACATGCCACCATGCCCGGCTAATTTTGTATTTTTAGTAGAGACAAGATTTCTCCATGTTGGCGAGGCTGATGTCGAAGTCCTGACCTCTGATGATCTGTCCAACTTGGCCTCCCAAAGTGTTGGAATTACAGGCATGAGCCACTGTGCCTGGTCTAAATCTTCTTTTGGTTACATTTATAGGTATATTATTAATATAAATATTTTAAATGTTATATAAATTATAAAAATCTAATATGGTATCAGTCATAATTTTGATGTTGTTAAATATTCTCTAAAGTTGTATATGTATAGATATATTATTAATATAAATATTCTAAAGATTATATAAAATTTGTGGAAGTCTGATGGATCTGATGTGTTGCCGTCAGTCATGATTCTGGCTTTTATCTTAAAATGCTACATATAATAGAAATAACTAAATTTTCTCTCCAGTTGAGAACTTCCACTGGATTTTAACCAAAGGATATTCTAAGTTTTTTTCATCCACGGTGATTGTTTAAAGTTCTTCTCTAAAACCCTTTACAGGCCAGGCATGCTGCTGGAGGCTGTGCAGGGCACGGTGCTGGGCATGGTGCAGGGCATGGTGGCTCATGCGTGTAAAAATCCCAGCACTTTGCAAGGCCGAGGTGGGTGAATTGCTTGAACTCAGAAGTTGAAAGCATCCTGGGCAACATGGTAAAACCCTGTCTCTACAAAAATACAAAAATTAGCCAGCATGATGGTGCATGCCTATGGTCCCAGCTACTTTGGAGGCTGAGGTAGGAGGATGGCTTGAGTTTACCAGGGAGAGATTGCGGTGAGCCAAGATCATGCCACTGCACTCTATCCTGAGTGACAGAGCCAGACAATGTCTCAAAAAAAAAAAGCCTTTACAATCAGCTATCATCTAAATTACTTTTAATGGAAAGGACTCTGACAAGTTCTCTTAAATATGGTCTCAGATAACTTTGGGGATCATTCTGTTGGACTAGGAAAATCTTCCAGGACTCTAAAAAGCTGAATGAGAATTTCCAATTGAAATCAAGCAAAACACAAAAAACTGAATGAGAATTGCTATTTGAAATCAAGCAGAACAAGATTTAGTTACATGGGACTGAACTTATAAAAGAAGGAAAAGATTTTATTCATGGCCCTTCCATAGGAAACATTGTTGATTCTCTTTACGTTTTGTTTTCCAAAGTCAAGAATTTTTTTCTTTTCAGCTATTTTTAACTTACCATACATTAGATAAACTACATTGTGAACAAAAATTTGAGCCATTTATCTGTCTCTCTAACTGATTTCTCCAGAATTCAGAAGCCATTCGTGAGCATTCCTAAATTATGGCAATATAATTATTTGCATAATTTCAATAAGAATCTGTTTTTGGTAACAGGATTCAATTGGAGACACTGTTTGTTTTATCAAGGCTTTAACTCGAACGGCAGATACAACCAGACCACTTTAAGGAATTGAGGTTGACTCTATAGCACCAATACAAAGCCCCTTAGAATGACTGGCTTGGTGTCCTGTCTACAAGGGTCATTTAGAAAGTTGCTGTCCTTGTGGTAAGAAGTAAAGAATGTCAATTTCTGACGGGCCCAGGAACCTTAAGTTATTTGGGGAGCTTGAGAAGAGAGGACTACACCAATTCATAAAAGTATTACAGGAGGGCTGGCAAGATGTCTGAAAAGGAACAGCTCCGGCCTGCAGCACCCAATGAGATCAACACAGAAGGCAGGTGGTTCATGCATTTCCAACAGCCTCCACTGGTGATACCCATGCAAACAGGGTCTGGAGTGGACCTCCAGCATCTCAAGCAAACCTGCAGCAGAGGGACCTGACTGTTAGAAGGAAAACTAACAAACAGAAAGGAATAGTCTCAACATCACCAACATCAAAGAACAAAGGTAAATAAATCCACAAAGATGGGGAGAAACCAGTGCAAAAAGGCTGAAAACTCCAAAAGCCAGAATGCCTCTTCTCCTCCAGAAGATCACAACTCCCCACCAGCAAGAGAACAAAACTGGACAGACAATGAGTTTGATGA
The DNA here is from genome assembly GCF_000001405.40 of Homo sapiens. Classification (NCBI taxonomy): domain Eukaryota; kingdom Metazoa; phylum Chordata; class Mammalia; order Primates; family Hominidae; genus Homo; species Homo sapiens. The sequence goes on from NT_187498.1 coordinate 54,947, forward strand.
ATTGACAGAAGTAGGCTTCAGAAGGCGGGTAATAACAAACTCCTCCGAGCTAAAGGAGCATGTTCTAACCCAATGCAAGGAAGCTAAGAGCCTGAAAAAAAAAGGTAGGACGAATTGTAAACTAGAATAACCGGTTTAGAGAAGAATATAAATGACCTGATAGAGCTGAAAAACCGAGCAAAGGAACTTAATGAAGCATACACAAGTATCAATAGCTGAATCAATCAAGCAGGAGAAAGGATATCAGAGATTGAAGATCAACTCAATGAAATAAAGCAAGAAGACAAGATTAGAGAAAAAAGAGTGAAAGAAAAGAACAAAGCCTCCAAGAAATAGAGGACTATGTTAAAAGACTGAATCTATGTTTGATTCGTGTACTTGAAAGTGACAGAGAGAATGGAACCAAGTTGGAAAACACTCTCAACTATATTATCCAGGAGAACTTCCCCAACCTAGCAAGACAGGCCAACATTCAAATTCAGGAAATACAGAGAACACCACTAAGATACTCCTGAAGAAGAGCAACCCCAAGACACAAAATCATCAGATTCACCAAGGTTGAAATGAAGGAAAAAATATTAAGGGCAGCCAGAGAGAAAGGTTGAGTTACCCACAAAGGGAAGCCCATCAGACTAACAGTGGATCTCTTGGCAGAAAGCCTACAAGCCAGAAGACAGTGGGGGCCAATATACAACATTCCTAAAGAAAAGAATTTTCAAGCCAGAATTTCATATCCAGCCAAACTAAGCTTCATAATTGAAGGAGAAATAAAATCTTTTACAAGCAAATGCTGAGAGATATTGTCACCACCAGGCCTGCCTTACAAGAGCTTCTGAAGGAAGCACTAAACACGGAAAGGAACAACTGGTAACAGCCACTGCAAAAACATACCAAATTATAAAGACCATTGACACTATGAAAAAATTGCATCAACTAATGAGCAAAATAACCAGCTAGTATCATAATGACAGGATCAAATTCATACATAACAATATTAACCTTAAATGTAAATGAGCTAAATGTCCCCAATTGAAAGACACAGACTGGCAAATTGGTTAAAGAGTCAAGACCCATCAATGTGCTGTACTCAGGAGACCCATCTCATACACATAGGCTCAAAATAAAGGGATGGAGGAACATTTACCAAGCAAGTGGAAAGCAACAAAAGGCAGGGGTTGCAATCCTAGCTTCTGATAAAACAGATCTTAAGCCAACAAAGATCAAAAGAGACAAAGAAGGCGTTACATAATGGTAAAGGGATCAATGCAACAAGAAGAGCTAACTATCCTAGACATATATGCACCCAATACAGGAGCACTCACATTCATAAAGCAAGTTCTTAAAGACCTACAAAGAGACTTAGACTCCCACACAATAATAGTGGGAGACTTTAACACTCCACTCTCAATATTAGATCAATGAGACAGAAAATTAACAATAATATCCAGGACTTGAACTCAGTTCTGGACCAAGTGGACCTAAAAGATCTCTACAGAACTCTCCACCGCAAATCAACAGAATATACCTTCTTCTCAGCACCACATTGCACTTATTCTAAAATTGACCACATAATTGGAAGTAAAACTCTCCTCAGGAAATGCAAAAGAATTGAAATCATAACAAACAGTCTCTCAGACCACAATGCATTCAAATTAGTATGCAGGATTTAGAAACTCACTCAAAACCTCACAACTACATGGAAACTGGGTGACCTGCTCCTGAATGACTACTGGGTAAATAACTAAATGAAGGCAGAAATAAAGATGTTCTTCAAAACCAATGAAAACAAAGACACAACGTCCCAGAATCTCTGGGACACATTTAAAGCAGTGTGTAGAGGGAAAATTTATAGCACTAAATGTCCACAAGAGAAAGCAGGAAAGATCTAAAATTGACACCTTAACATCAAAATTAAAAGAACTAGAGAAGCAAGAACAAACAAATTCAAAAGCTAACAGGAGACAAGACACAAATAAGATCAGAGCAGAATTGAAGGAGATAGAGACATGAAAAACCCTTCAAAAAATCAATGAATCCAGGAGCTGGTTTTTTGAAAACATCAACAAAACAGACCACTAGCCAGACTAATAAAGAAGAAAAGAGAGAAGAATCAAATAGATGCAATAAAACATGATTAAGGGGATATCACCACTGATCCCACAGAAATACAAATTATCATCAGAGAATACTACAAAGACTAAACAAGGAAGAAGTGAAATTCCTGAATAGACCAATAACAAGTTCTGAAAATGAGGCATTAATTATAGCCTACCAACCAAAAAAATTCCAGGACCAGACGGATTCACAGCCGAATTCTATGAGAGGTACAAAGAGGAGCTGGTACCATTCCTTCTGAAACTATTCCAAACAATAGAAAAAGAGAGAATCCTCCCTAACTCACTTTATGAGGTCAGCATCACCTTGATACCAAAACCTCACAGGGACACAACAAAAAAAGAAAATTTTAGGCCAATATCCCTGATGAGCATCGATGCAGAAATCCTGGATAAAATACTGGAAAACTGAATCCAGCAGCACATCAAAAAGCTTGTCCACCATGATCAAGTCAGCTTCACCCCTGGGATGCAAGGATGGTTCAACATATGCAAATCAATAAATGTAATCCATCACATAAAGGGAACAAATGACAAAAACTGCATGATTATCTCAATAGATGCAGAAAGGGCCTTTGACAAATTTCAACAGCCCTTCATGCTAAAAACTCTCAATAAACTGGTATTGATGGAACATATCTCAAAATAGTAAGTGCTATTTATGACAAGCCCACAGCCAATAACATACTGAATGTGCAAAAACTGGAAGCATTCCCTTTGAAAATCAGCACAAGACAAGGATGCCCTCTCTCACTACTCCTATTCAACATAGTATTGGAAGTTCTGGCCAGGGCAATCAGGCAAGAGAAAGAAATAAAGGGTATTCAATTAGGAAAAGAGGAAGTCAAATGGTCTCTGTTTGCAGATGACATGATTGTATATTTAGAAAACCCCATCATCTCCACCCAAAATCTCCTTAAGCTGATAAGCAACTTCAGCAAAGTTTCAGGATACAAAATCAATGTGCAAAAATCACAAGCATTCCTATACAGCAATAACAGACAAACAGAGAGCCAAACTGTGAGTGAACTCCCATTCACCATTGCTATAAAAAGAATGAAATACCTAGGAATGCAACTGACAAGGATGTGAAGGACCTCTTCAAGGAGAACTACAAACCACTCCTCAAGGAAATAAGAGAGGACACAAACAAATGGAAAATCATTCCATGCTCATAGATAGGAAGAATCAGTATCATGAAAGTGGCCATACTGCCCAAAGTAATTTATAGATTCACTGCTATCCCCATTAAACTACTATTGACTTTCTCCACGGAATTGGAAAAATATACTTTAAATTTCATATGGAATCAAAAAAGAGCCCGAATAGCCAAGACAATCCTAACCAAAAAGAACAAAGCTGGAAGCATCATGGTACCTGACTTCAAAATATACTACAAGCTACAGTAACCAAAAGAGCATGGTGCTGTTACCAAAACAAATATATAGATCAAAGGAACAGAACAGAGGCCTCAGAATTAACACCACACATCTACAACCATCTGATCTTTGAGAAACCTCAGAAAAACAATCACTGGGGAAAGGATTCCCTATTTAATAAATGGTGTTGGGAAAACTGGCTAGCCATAGGCAGAAAGCTGAAACTGGATCCTTTCCTTACACCTTATACAAAAATTAACTCAAGATGGGTTAAAGACTTAAACATAAGACCTAAAGCCATAAAAACCGTAGAGGAAAACCTAGGCAATACCATTCAGGACATAAACATGGGCAAAGACTTCCTGACTAAAACACCAAAAACAAAGGCAACAAAAGCCAAAATTGACAAATGGGACCTAATTAAACTAAAGAGCTTCTGGACAGAAAAAGAAACTATCAGAATGAATGGGCAACCTACAAAATGGGAGAAAATTTTTGCAATCTATCCATCTGACAAAGGGCTAATATCCAGAATCTACAAAGAACTTAAATAAATTTACAAGATAAAACAACCCCATTGAAAAGTGGGCGAAGGATGTGAACAGACACTTCTCAAAAGAGGACAATTATGCAACCAACAAACTTATGAAAAAAAAAGCTCAACATCACTAGTCATTAGAGAAATGCAAATCAAAACCACAATGAGATACCATCTCATGCCAGTTAGAGTGGCGATCATTAAAGAGTCAGGAAACAACAGGTACTGGAGAGGGTGTGGAGAAATAGGAAGGCTTTTACACTGTTGGTGGGAGTGTAAATTAGTTCAACCATTGTGGAAGACAGTGTGGCTATTCCTCAAGGATCTAGAACTAGAAATACCATTTGGCCCAGCAATCCCATTACTGGGTATATACCCAAAGGATTATAAATCATTCTACTATAAAGACACATGCACATGTATGTTTATTGCAGGACTGTTCACAATAACAAAGACTTGGAACCAACCCAAATGCCCATCAATGATAGACTGAATAAAGAAAATGTGGCACATATACACCATGGAATACTATGCAGCCATAAAAAAGGATGAGTTCATGTCCTTTGCAGGGACATGGAAGAAGCTGGAAACCATCATTCTCGGCAAACTAACACAAGAACAGAAAACCAAACACCACATGTTCTCACTCATAAGTGGGAGTTGAACAATGAGAACACATGGTCACAGGGAGGGGAACATCACACACTGGGGCCTGTTGGGGGGTGGGGGAAGGGGGAGGAATAGCATTAGGAGAAATGTCTAATATAGGTAATGGGTTGATGAGTGCAGCAAACCACCACAGAATATATATACCTATGTAACAAACCTGCACTTTCGGCACATGTACCCCAGAACTTAAAGTATAATTTTAAAAAGTAGGTTAAAAAAGTATTACAGACACAGTCTGATGCAAATCTTTGACTTGGCTGGCGTCAAGACTCTTAAAAGTCTAAGATTCCTTATTTCAAATTTCCAACAAAGCCAATTTTAAGAAGCCTGTATGGCCAATAAATATTCTTGCTGCACTTTATGGAAATAATCAGGCCAGGTATGATAAGACTAAAACTTATTTTGCATACAAAATTGGTCCTACTATGATTTGTCTTTGATAAAATGATGGACTAGAGAAAATTTTTGTTCCAAAAGAAAACTATGACATATGCTATTAGATTCCAACCCTGATCATTGTTTTAGAGTTTTTATTATTTGCCTATAATTTGGGCTGAATCCTGAATTATTTCCTGGATCCAAGTGTTCCCTAGTGAATCTGAATATAATATATTTTTAAAAACTTCTTTTATCCTGTCAGGAATGAGATGTATTTTTTGAAGGACTACTTAAACTAGCAATTACAATTCGATTATTATGATTATAGAATCTCGGGATTTCTCTTCCTTCTTGTCAAGGTCTTTACTTGATGTTTGTCTCATTAAAAAAAAAATGAGACTGATTACACTCTACTCAAGACTGAAGACATGTACTTTAACCTGTCTCTGTTACCAGTAAACCAAAGCCTTAACTTTCAGAATCTGTCAGGGACACTGTGTGGTCCCTGGATCAACCACCCATGGGCTTATGAATGTGTTGACCGCTGGCATATGAGAAGTAATTGTCTATTAGGTTATGTGACTCTTCCTCTTTCTATTTATAACTCCAATGTTTCTGAACACTGAAGTAATTCATCGAAATTACTTTCCAGGATTAGACAAACCATACCTGCACACCAAGGAGATGAATTTTGGCCTATGTTTGGCAGAAGTCACTTGCAATGGTGGGGAGTAACCTCTCATGAACGTATAATTAGAAATCTGTCAACCAACCACTCTAGGTAACTTAGCAAATGAACTAGCTGAAGCCATAGCTACCAAACAAAGATCTTTAGACTCTTTAGCCAGTATAGTCATGGATGATGGAATAACTTTAGGCTACATAGTGGTGAAACAGGGAGAAATTCATATGGCAGCTAGCTAACACATCATGTTGTGTTTAGATCCATGCATCTTCTGAAGTTGAAACACATGTAAAAAAATAAGACAATATGAGAATTAATTATGACAAATCCTAGGGAAGAGGCTGAAAGAGCTGTAACACAAACAGGGCTGAGACATGCCCCTTGCTAGCCACATTGTGGGCAAAGAGAAGGAAAGAAGAGCTGTGACCCTTTGGGAAGCCCAGACCTGGGAGCTCCCCGAGCCAGGGCTGTGATTCCCTCTTTGGGGCCCTGTGGTTCCTGGTATCTCCAAGCTTCTGGGTGCCACTGTGTTCCCAGTGTGCCAGCTGTGGAAGCTGCTTGCGGTGCCCGTGGTCCAGCCACAGACTTGTGGAGAGCTGGTACCCATGTTGGCACCTGGAGTTACCTGCTCCACTGCAGCAGCCAGGAAGTCTGACTGCACAGTGGCCAGACCCCATGCTTGCTCACACACCCCTTGCCACTCCGCGCAGTCTCCCTTGGCAAACATGGGATCCAACCTGGTAGCATGAGCTGAGCACAGCCTGCCAGGCTGAGTGGGCGGGGCCCAAGCAAAACTCAGGTAAAGGTGCCACCAGCCATAGAGTTTTCTGTCCAGAAAAGTGACACTCCAAAGATCCCGTAACACCGCTACTCTTCCCAACCTCTGGAAACTCTCAGTCTACTCTCTATCTTGATGAGTTCAATTGTTTTAATTTTTAGCTCCCACAAAAGTGTGAGAACATGCAAAGTCTTTCTGTGCCTGGCTCATTGTACTTAACATAATGTCCCCTAGTTCCATCCACGTTGTTGCAAATGACAGAATCTTATTCTTTTTCATGGCCGAAGAGTACTCCATTGTGTACATGTACTACATTTTCTTTATTCCTTCATCTGTTGATGCACACTTAGGTTGCTTCCAAATCTTGGCTATTATGAATAGTGCTGAAATAAATATGGGAATGCAGATAACTCTTTGATATACTAATTTTCCCTCCCTTGGGTATATACCCAGCATTGCTGGGTTGCTGCATTGCAGGATTGCTGTATCATATGATAGTTCTATTTTTAATTTTTTGAGGGACCTCCATATTGTTCTCCATAGTGAATGTACTAATTTACATTCCCACCAACAGAGTAAGAGGGTTCTCTTTTCCCCACATTCTTGCAAGCATTTGTTATTGCCTCTCTTTTGCATAAAAGCCATTTTAATGGGGGTAAGATGATATCTTATTGTAGTTTTGATTTGAAATGCTCTGATGATCAATGATATTGAGCACCGTTTCATATACCTATTTGACATTTATATATCTTCTTTTTTGTTTTTGCTCATTTTTTGAGACAGGGTCTCACTCTGTCACCCAGGCTGGAGTGCAGTGGTATGATGATGGCTTACTGTAGTTTTGACTACCAGGGTTCAAGCAATCCTCCCACCTCAGCCTCCTGAGTAGCTGGGACCACAGGCATGCATCACCATGCCCAGATAGTTTTTAAAATTATTTGCTATGTTTTTCAGGTTGGTCTTGAACTCCTGGGCTCAAGTGGTCCACCTGTCTTGGCTCCCCAAAATGCTGGAATTACAGGTGAGAGCCACCGCGCCTGACCTGTGTGCCTTCTTTTGAGAAATGTCTGTTCAGATTTTTTGCCCATTTAAATAATTGGATTATTAGTTTTTTTTTTCTTATAGAGTTGTTTGAACTCCTTATATATTCTGGTTATTAATCCCTTGTCAGATATATAGTTTGCAAATATTTTCTTCCATTCTGTGGATTGTCTTTTCACTTTGTCCATTGTTTTCTATACTATGCAGAAACTTTTGAACTTCATGTGATACCATTTGTTCATTTCTGCTTTGGTTGCCTGGGCTTTTGGGGTATTACTCAAGAAATCTTTGCCCAGACCAATTTTCTGGAGAGTTTCCCTAATGTTTTCTTTCACTAGTTTCTTGTCCTTGATTTAAGTCTTTAACCCATTTGGATTTGATTTTTGTATATAGCGCAAGAGAGGGTTCTAGTTTAATTATTCTGCCAATGACTTTGGGAGGCTGAGGTGGGCAGATCATGAGGGCAGGATATCGAGACCATCCTGGCTAACACAGTGAAACTCCGTCTCTACTAAAAATACAAAAAAAAAATTAGCTGGGTGTGGTGGGGGCACCTGTACTCCCAGCTACTTGGGAGGCTGAGGAGGAGAATGGTGTGAACCAGGGAGGTGGAGCTTGCAGTGAGCCCAGATCGTGCCACTGCACTGCAGCCTGAGCAACAGAGCTAGACTCCATCTCAAAAAAAAAAATTATTCTGCCAATGAATATCTAGTTTTCCCAGCACAATTTGTTGAAGAGACTGTCCTCTCCCCCATGTATATTCTTGGAATCTTCATTGAAAATGAGTTATTTGTAAATGTAAGGATTTATTTCTGGGTTCTCTATTCTGTTCCATTGGTCTATGTGTCTGTTTTATGCCAGTATCATGCTGCTTTGTTTACAATTGCCCTGTAGTATAATTTAACGTCAGGTGATGTGATTCTTCCAGTTTTGTTCTTTTTGCTAAGGATGGCTTTGGGTATTCTGGGTCTTTTATGATTTCATATAAATTTTAGGATTTTTTTTTCTGTTTCTGTGAAGAATGTTATTAGTATTTCAATAGGGATTGCATTGAATCTGTAGATTGCTTTGTGAAGTATGTGTATTTTAACAATATTTATTCTTCCATTCAATGAACATGGACTATCTTTCCATTTTTTTGGTGTCTTCTTTAATTTTTTTGCATTGGTGTTCTATAGTTTTCATCGTAGAGATCTTTCACTTCTTTTGTTACATTTATTCCTAGATATTTTATTTTATTTGTAGCTATTGTAAATGGGAGTATGTACTTTATTTTCTGCTTTAGATTGTTCATTTTTGGAATTTAGAAATGCTACTGAGTTTTGTATTTTGATTTTGTATCGTGTGACTCTGAATTTGTTAATCAGTTCTAATAGCTTTTTGGTGGAGTCCTTAGGTTCTTCCAAATATAAGATCAAATCACCTGCAAACAAGAAAACAATAATAATTTTACTTCTTTCAATTTGGATGCCCTTTATTGTTTTTCACTTTTCTGGATTGCTTTAGCTAGGACTTCCAGTACTATGTTGAGTAACAGTGTTGGAAGTGGACATTCTTGCCTTGTTCCAGATCTTAGAAGAAAGACTTTCAGGTTATCTCTGTTCAGGATGATACTGGCTGTTGGTCTGTTGCATATGGTTTTTATTGTGTTGTGGTATGTTCCTTCTAAATCTAGCTTTTTTTAGGGTTTATTTTTATCACAGGGATGTTGGATTTTATTAAATGCTTTTCAGCATCAATTGAAATTACCATATGGTTTTTGTCCTTCATTCTGTTGATATGATGTGTCACATTGATTGATTTGCATATGTTGAACCATGTTGGCATTCTTGAGGTAAATCCCACTTAGACATGATGAATGGTCTTTTTCATAGAATGAGTATGGAAATACTACAGCCTTCTTTGTTTTTTGGAATAGTTTGAGTAGGATTGATAGTAATTCTTCCTTCGATGTTTGGTAAAATTAATCAGTGAAGCCATTGGATCCAGGCTTTTCTTTGCTAGGAGATGTTTTATTATGGGTTCAATCTCATTTATCCATTTCTTCTAGGTTTGTTTTTTGGTTGTTTTTGTTTTTTTGTGGGTTTTTTTGTTTTTGTTTTTGTTTTGTTTTTTTTTTTTTTTGAGATGGAGTCTTGCTCTGTCACCCAGGATGGAGCTTGATACAATCTCAGCTCACTGCAACTTCTGCCTCCCAGGTTCAAGTGATTCTCCTGCCTCAGCCTCAGGAGTAGCTGGGAGTAGAGGTGCACACCACCATGCCTGGCTAATTTTTGTATTTTTAGTAGAGATGGGGTTTCACCATGTTGGCCAGGCTGGTCTTGAACTCCTGACCTCAGATGATCACCTGCCTTGTCCTCTCAAAGTGTTGGGATTACAGGCATGGGCCACGGTGCCTGGCCATTACTTGCAGGTTTTTCAATTTATTGGAATATAGTTGGTCATAGTAGTTTCTAATGATTCTTTGAATTTCTGCAGTATCAGTTGTAGTGTCTCCTTTTTAATCTCTGGTTTTATGTATTTGAGTCTTCTCTCTTTTCTCTTAGTCTGGCTAAATGTTTGTTGATTTTGTTGATCTTTTAAAAAATATTAACTTTTCATTTCATTGATATTTTATATTTTTAAATTTCAATTTCATTTATTTCTGCTCTGATCTTTGCTATGTTTCCTTCTACTAATTTTGGTTTTGGTTTGTTCTTGCTTTTCTAATTATTTAAGATGCATTATTAGGTTGTTTATTTGAAGTTTTTCTACTTTTTTTGATGTAGATGCTTGTTGCTGTAAACTTACTCCTTAGTACTGTTTTTGCTGTATCCCATGGTTTGTTTTTTGTTTTTTTGTTTTTGTCTTTTTTTTTTTTTTTTGAGACAGAATCTCTCTCTGTTGCCCAGGCTGGAGTGCAGTGGCTCAATCTTGGCTTACTACAAGCTCTGCCTTCTGGGTTCATGCCATTCTCCCACCTGAGCCTCCCGAGTAGCTGGGACTACAGGTGCCCACCACCATGCCAGGCTAATTTTTGTTTTTTGTATTTTTAGTAGAGACAGGGTTTCACCGTGTTAGCCAGGATGGTCTCGATCTCCTGACCTCGTGATCCGCCCGACTCGGCCTCCCAAAGTGCTGGGATTACAGGTATGAGCCACTTCGCCCGGCCTGTATCCCATAGGGTTTGGTTTGACTTTAAAGTTTTCCTTTTCTCAAAAACTCAGTGTCGTGGTACCGGCTTCTAGTGCTCTGGGCAGTGAGACCCTTTTACTTGATAACTGGTAGCTGGGACAACTTGGCAATGTAAATAAATAAACGGCATCTAGATTGAAAAGGAAGAAGTACAGTTATCTTTATGTACAGATGACATGATCTTGCATTTAGAAAATCATAAGAAATTTACTAAAAAGTGGTAGGACTCATTAACAAATTTAGGAATGTAACACTATGTAAGATTGGTATACAAAAATAACTGTATTTCTTTACCAAGAATCAAGAATCCAAAAATGGAATTACAAAAATAAATCTTGTTACAATAGAATTAAAGCTGGGGTAACTTTAACATAAGAAGCTTAAACTTGAACACTAAAAACATGGTTAGTGTTGGAAACACCCAGGTACCATCCCTGAGCCTTCTCTCCTTGGCTCTGAGGACTTTACCTTCATGGGGTGAGGAAAGGGTTTGCATTCTTGGCTTTTACATAATATTAGGTGGGTTCAGGGTGAGGTATCTGCAAGTCAAATGAGTATTACAATCTCTACTTTTATGTATAAGAGACTGAGGACCACAAAGAGAGAGAATGACAATCCATATCCTGGAAGGCGAATTGTCAGGCACTGATTTCCCCTATGTAACCCCTGCCAGTCATCGTGTATTCAAAGGATCCCCAGATACCTTACCAATAGGTGTTCAAGAGAGAGGCCTGTAATCTAGGCTTCTGAGAAAACAAGGCTAGAGTTTCCAATATTGGAGAAAACAGGGCTCTGGGAAGATTAAGGTTGAGTTTTCTGGATCTGCGGAATAGAGTCACTGAGGACCAATTGCAAGATCAGAGGAGATGAAAGAACAAGTCAGGTCATGCTTAGGAAAAGAGAATACCAGGGATAGGTTTTAGGCAAGAGTCACACTGAGGAAGGGCAGGTTCTTGGCATCGCTCAGGAAGGAATCCAAAAGCAAGCCTGTGGTGGAAGAAAGCAGCTCTACAGGGGCACTGGCGGTGTTACAGCCCTGCTTCTGCTCCTGCAGGACAGGGAGCCCTCCGTGGGTTGTGCTCCCAGAGTAGCAGCCTAGGGGTGGCTTGCAGTCATTTTTATATTTCACTTTTAATGGCATGCTAATTAAGGGGAGGGTTATTCAGAAATAGCTAGAAATGGGCAGTAACTTCCAGCTGTTTCCATGGCAAGGGTTGGGGACTTCCCGTGCTACCATGGCATTGGCAAACTGTCATGGCACTGGTGGGAGCATCTTCTGGTGATCTGAGGCCTGAGGTGCTTTCGCTGTCTCTCCCAGTTTCATGCGTGCCTCTTACCTGAAAGCCCTTCACACCCCCATCTACCCACCTACAAAGTTCACTGCCCTTTCACCCCACCCCCGTTTCACACTCACTCTCACATCAACCCTGAGCATTCAAGCCTGCGTTTCCCTGTTAGGAACCTCGGTGGTAGCCGGGGTTCTGAGAAAACCCTAGGCAGAATGCCTTGCCTAGTTTGTGGCAGAAATCAGGGAAGGAAAGACAAATTTCAGGTCTTTCTCACAATAAATAAATAAAGATAGGGAGATTTGATTGATTGATGGATGGATGAAACGTGGGAGTTTACGGGCAAATATTTATCAGACACTGGAAGTGTAAGTTGTCACAAAGATTATGGAGTGCACCTGTCTTATGACGCTGTTAACACTAGAAAATATTTTCTAAATGTGTAAATTGAAGGCTCACAAATTAGTTAAGTGAGAGAAAAGATAACGGATTGGAAGAGAATTACCATATTCATTAGTTGTGTTTTTAAAATTTTAAAGTAAAATACAGACATGATTTTTTTCACACTTTCGAATGCATCTATAAAAAATAGACTTGAGGGCTGGGCGCAGTGGCTCACGCCTGTAATTCCAGCACTTTGGGAGGCCGAGGAGGGCGGATCACGAGGTCAGGAGTTGGAGACCAGCCTGACCAACATGGCGAAAACCCGTCTCTACTAAAAATACAAAAATTAGTCAAGCGTGGTGGCGCGCCTGTAATCCCAGCTACTCAGGAGGCTGAGGCAGGAGAATCGCTTGAACCCGGGAAGCGGAGGTTGCAGTGAGCCGAGATCGCACCATTGCACTCCAGCCTGGGCGACAGAGTGAGACTCCGTCTCAAAAAAAAAAAAAAAAAAAAAAGTTACTCATTAACAGCATAGACCAATTGGCCTCTATTGAAATTTCTCCATTATTTTCACAATGTCCCAGGCTGTGAAATCAGGATTTAATAAAGAACCAGAATGCCATATCTGTGTCACCTGGGTAGGGACCAGTCCTGATTCATTAAGTCCGTGTCTCTGGGTAACTGGACTCAACTGCTGGACTAAACAGAATGTCCGGCGTGGGTTCCTAACGGGGCACCACAGAGCCTCATGGGAAATGTAGTGTCACTTTCCAATGATGTTACCATCAAGGACTTTGGGAACCAGATTTTCTCTCTGCGCATGCGCCGCCCGGCCCACTCCGCCATTTTCATCCGGAAGTGCGTCACCCAGAGGCGGTCTTGTAGCGGGGCCGGCTTGGGGCTTGGTTCTATGTCCCTGCGGGTCGGTGCGAGGGCGAAGAGGAACCCGTGGGCCTCGGGGGATCCCGGGGGGCCGGACCAGTGTCCCCTAGTTGTGGGAGCAGACGCGTGGGCGCATCGCGGGCGGGCAGGGCCTGAAGTGCAGGTGCGGGCAGCGGACCCTGGCGGGGGCTGGGAGGACAGGCATGGGGTCCCGGCAGTGAAGCGGGTTCTAGAGGCGCAGGAGCGGGTAGGCGAGGCCGGTGGCCCTGGGCCCGGAGTCTGCAGGCCGCGCTCCTGTCCTGCCGCTGAGGGACCCGGTTACCAACCCGCATGACGCTCAGTTTGCCCATCTGTCCCAGTGCTAACACTCAGTTCTCGGGAGACGTTCCCCATTCCCAGAGGAGTAGTGCGAAATGCGTGCGCCTCTAGTCTTAAACTTGGCGTTTGTATTAGTCGGGTTTCCTGGTGTCTCTTTAGCAAGTGAAGTTTCTGGTTCCCTCCTTCACTGTGTGACCTGCCTAGTCCTCCTGGGTTGCATTTACAGAAGTTTATACGAGACCTAGTTTCCAGGGAAGAACTCACTGATTCCGCGAGGGAGATGGCATAATGGATGATGGTCTTCAGCCTTAAGGGTACTTCAGTCTTAACTGTGTGTTACAAAGTTTGAAAGAGAGGGTTCCCTATGAATAAGAAGCGCACTTGAAAGAACAGCTGTCTGGTCTAACCTCTCACTGGTGCTTCAGAGGAGGAAAAAAGGTCACAGGTGAGGATCCCAGTTTTCCTCGCTCAGGAAATATTAATTCTACTCCCTAGAATGCACAAGATTTGCAAAGACTAGGTGATAGTAGAAGGTTTGGACGAACTTTCAGAAGGTTGAGGTGAATTCAGTTGAGAAGAACAGGCAAGGACCTAGGAAATATTCCTTATTTGAAGGGGCCTGAAAGTGTGGTCTGGGGTACAGGAGTGACCTGTCATACTTGAGAAGATTAAAATACTCTCCAAACACAGTCCCATTCCTTCAACCTTAGCTCGTTTTTCCCAGCGTCTGAGATATATTAAACCTAGTCCATCCCCAAATTTAGCATTAGATTGCGAAGTTCTATTGATTGTATTTGATTTGTAATTTAAGATTTTCTCCCCCTACGTAATTTTGTTAAAAACACAGAAGTGAATTCTGTTCACTTAAGTGTAACAGTTAATACTTGCTGTTTAAGGAACTAATTAAACCTTACTGGCTTATAAAAAACAAACACCATTTTATTTGTTTGAAGTTCTGTGGATCTGCATTTTGGTGTGGTGGGTTCAGCTGGGTAGTTGATATATTTGTGTTGCCTGGATCACAAAAAGTCCTTAGTCACCTGGTGCCTTGACTGAGCCTGGTTGGTTTAAGATAGTTTCCTTCACAATCTGGTGGTTTGTGGTGACTCTTGGCTAGGCCCTGTGTCTCCAACAGGGTAGCTCCAGACCTCTTCACAATTTGACTGTGTCCAAAATGGCAAGAACCAATGGATATTTGCATCACATTTTCCATTGTCCATTCACTGGACAAGTCAGATGGAAAAGCCCAATTTATTATCAGAGCATAATATGAGGGCTTGCATAGAAGGAAAGCTGTTATTGGGAAACATGAGTACAATGGTGTACTGTAGGAAATACATATTATGTACATTTTAAAAAATGTAATTGTAGGCCAAAATTGCTGGTTTGCAAGATGCACTTTCCATGATGTTCAGGTATAGAAAAGCAATATGTACTGTCATGGGAACACTCATATGAAGTTATTTGTGGAATCTACATATAAATAGGAAAATAGTTAATACAGCCTAGTATATTTCTATAACATTTATTTTAGTGAACTTATAATGTTTCTTTGCATTAAATTATTAGATTATATCTTTAGATCATATTGTTACTAAATTAATAGGTAATACATATTTTTATTCAAAAATAAATTGTGCATCTAATGTCTACCAATTAATGTACTTGTAGATGTATCTTATCTTAACTTGAGACTTTGATGCCCCTAATGAGGCGTGAAGGACTCTTCTCCCATGGGGAAGTTTTTCTTTTTCAGGAGGGAGGAGGGCTTTCCCAGGTAATGTGTCTAGAGTGTTGGGCAGAAGAATCTGGGACTACACCACACCAGTTCTCTGCTTAAGCCACGTCATTTGCCTTCTATCCCAGCTATGTTTCCAGTGTCCTCTGGGTGTTTCCAAGAGCAACAGGAAACGAATAAATCTCTGGTGAGTTGTTTATTTGTTCTTCACTTTGTTTTACACTGTATTTTCTGAGTTTTTGGGTGTCTGTGAATTAAAAAGGAAAAGTAGAAATAAGTAAAACTCAGGTTGAAGGAAATATACATAAATAAGATAAAGCTGACCTGTAGATATAGGCAGGTTATAAGAGCTTAGAGTTGTCTAAGTTGGGTGCAAATTTTCCTCTGATCTTTCTGATGCCGAGACAAAAAAGGCAGTCATATTTGTTACGTGATTGGAGTGGAACCCGAGAAGAGAACATGCTGTGTTCTTGTGGGACAGGAAAGCTTGCGTGCACCAAGTCTGAACCACCACCTTCATTGGTGACATAGATTATGTGCTGGAACATATTTCACACCGGCCTGGCAGTAACCACTTGTAGTGTTGTACAGTGGAAACGGTCATCTTCCGCTAAAGCACAGTGTGTTGTGCAGTGGAAATGGTCATCTGCCGCTAAAGCACAGCTTCCATCGTAAGATATGCTCCTTGCTCAAAGAGTGTGGTCCCAAACAGCTTTTGGGAGGTCCTCCTTGATTCATGGATGAAACCCGGAACATCTTGAGGACTGAGTTAACCATAGGTCCTTAAATAACTCTCCACACTTTTTCTTAGTTTGTCTCTACATGCAGGGTGTGCAGCAGCCTGTTCAAAGTCATATTTTCTGGGAAATATTTCCAGTGTTTATTTGCACTTTAGCCCACTCTGTGTAGTCTTAACTCATTTCTTCTAAACTCACCATTAACCTAAATAATAGTCAAATTTAGGGGGACTGTATTTGCCTTACTCGAGTCTTCTACCATAGTTGAAACTGTCGTACCTGAGTGAGAGAGAAACGCCACACTTTGAGACGAATTCAGGAGTCCTTTATTAGCCGGTGACTGAGAGACGGCTAACGCACGAAATTCTCTCGGCCCCAAAGAAGGGACTAGATTTTCTTTTATACTTTGATTTAGAGAGGGGAGGGGGGATTCTAGCTGCAGCAACTTTACAGAAGAAATAAACAGACAAAAAAGTTAAAAAGACAGATGGTTACAGGAAAACAAACTGTTCCAGGTGCAGGGGCTTTAAATTCACCAAAAAGTGATAGGTGAGGGTGCTCTGGGCATTATCTGCCGGACAAATGTGGGGGCTTTATGATACTATCTCTGAGTAATTTGCTGGGAACTGCGGACATCTCTTGTCTCAGCACTTTATCAGTTAATTGCACTCTTTGATATGTTGAAAATCAGCTTGCACAAGTTAAAGTCCTTGAGGAAAGGGGGTGTGTAAGAAGCCCTTGATGTTTTGTAAATGAAGGAGCCAAATGGAATTTGTCTGGTTTTCTCAGCTAAGGGAGAGTCTATTCATATTAAAAACAAGGTTAGCTATCTAAGGAACAATCTATTCATGTTAATACAACGTTGGGTATTACAAAACATCTGTTCATGATCTGGAAATTCTTCTGTGTTAGTTCTGTTAAAAGAAAAACTTTAAAGGAGTTTAATTGATCAATAAACGATTCACAAATCGGACAGTCCCCAGAATCACAGCAGATTCACAGAGACTCCAGCGCAGTCATGTGGTGGAAGAAGATTTATAGACAAAAGGGAAATGGCATACCGAAATCGGAAGTGAGGTACAGAAACAACTCAGCATTTGCCTTGTTTGAACACATTTTGAACATTTGGCAGTGCCTGAGTTGTTGAAGTTTGGCCATTGGGATTGGCCAAGATGTAGCTGTTGTTCCAGGTGCATACTCTCAAGTTATTTTTTCATTCTTGTATACCTATTAAGGTAGGTTGCAGTTCATCCACAAGGACTCATATATAGAATTATGGAGTCCTTCTCAGGCCATACTTAGTTCATTTTAACAATGCCTTCCCTTTGGTTATTTTCTCAATTTTGAGAGATTGGCCAAAACTTCAGTCACTGGTGTCACTATTACCATTGCAAATATACTTACTTGGTTTAGAAACCCACTGGGAAATAGACCAGTGAGATTTGAAAAGGTGGAACAAGGACTTGAGTAGAAGGTATCTTCTTATGCTGGAACATCCTGTTTATAGGAGAAAAACAAAACCTGGTTTGTTCTAGGATTTATATGTTTCCTTAAAGTCTTAGTTTAATTATGTTACATTTAGCATGAGTGACTCCATTTTGGTTTGGTTTGGTCTGTTGGGACCTATTGCATGAGCTTAGTTCAAAACAATGGCCTCCCATAGTTTTGCTTAAAAAATTCCTCCTTTTGGCTGGGCGCGGTGGCTCACACCTGTAATCCTAGCACTTTGGGAGGCTGAGGTGGGCAGATCACGAGGTCAGGAGATTGAGACCATCCTTGCTAATATGGTGAAACCCCGTCTCTACTAAAAATACAAAAAATTAGCCAAGCATAGTGGCGGGTGCCTGTATTCCCAGCTACTCAGGAGGCTGAGGCAGGAGAATGGCCTGAACCCGGGAGGCGGAGCTTACAGTGAGCTGAGATCGTGCCACTGCACTCCACTCTGTGGGACACACCAAGACTCTGTCTTAGAAAAAAAAAATCCTCCTTTTCAGTCAAGTTCTCACTTAGTTGAGAGTATGACCAAAATATAGGGCCTTAGCATCACTCTTAGTTACCATTGTTTTGGGTTCCGGTTTTAGCACATCATTCCCACTGTTTTGTGTTTCTGGTTTAGCACGTCACTCCCATTGTTTTCGGTTCCGGTTTTAGCACATCACTCCCATGTTTTGGGTTCTGGTTTTAGCACGTCACTCCCACTGTTTTGGGTGTTTGGTTTAGCAGGTCACTCCCATTGTTTTGGGTTCCTATTTAAGCACATCACTCCCATTGTTTTCATTTCCGGTTTTAGCACGTCACTCCCATTGTTTTGGGTTCCAGTTTTAGCAAGTCACTCCCATTGTTTTGGGTTTCTGGTTTAGCATGTCACTCCCATTGTTTTGGGTTCCAGTTTAAGCACATCACTCCCATTGTTTTGGGTCTCTGGTTTCGCAGGTCACTCATAGGTTACAGTGTCCTTATGGTTGCACATTTTTTTAAAATCTCTTGTCATTCCAGTTGAAGAGATACCATTTGACATTTTAGAGATGCCTGCATGCAAACTCTTAAAACATTTGAGTAAGTACAGTGCACCAGGGAGACTCTTATGACTACTGGCATAATACCAAGAATGTGGTATATGCTCCTTACTCAGGGTCCCCATAAATCAAACCACCTAAAATAAAATAGATTAAAGAATGAATTAGATAAAGAGTTTACTTGCTTAACTAAGTGGGTTTTTTGTTAATTCCCTACAACCAAATCTTTATAATACCCCATGTTTTCTCCACATGCTGTAAGTGTTAGCAGCTGCACAGATACTTAAGATAAGAGTCTCATGATAGTAGAGAAGTCTTGATCTGTGATCTTGGGAAAAGCTGTTCACATTAAGGATGCCATCTTCTTCTGGGGGGAACTGTCCTTCTTAGCTTTACCTTAAGGGTTCCAATGGATATATGGTTCCAAGTGTGGAGGGACCCTTCTGAGTTGTGAAACTATGAACCCAAAGTTTAAGTTTTTAAAGTTTTGCTGTCATGTGGATGGCAAGGGCAGTCCTTCTCTGATGTTCTCAGAAGATCCAGTCATCAGATTCTAGATTGTGAAGGGGTTGACTGTCCCCAGTGAACCATAAAAGGCTTTCTTTACCTGGTGAAAATACACTTCAGGGCAATAATGTACTGTTTTAACATCAACTCTCTCGCATGGAAGAGCTTTTATACAATCAGAAAGCATGCACTGAAAATGACAACTGAATGAAATCCCTTTATAAAATGTTTAAATGGCCCATCAGGTAACCAAATGTACCTGAAGTTTTGATTGTTTTCCTAGGAATATAGGTTTGACAAACCAAACATTGGTTATAAACTATTTTATCAGTTTAGAAATCACCACAACAATATATTTAATTTGGATCATTTTCTCTTTCCATGATGAGTTATGGAATGCAGAACTTTTAATAACAAAAGTTTTAAGGACTTAAGAAGGATAAGGTGGCCATCCTGGTTCTTCATAAGTCTGTGCTTAATTAACATTAGACTTACATCCTCTTGAATACCAGCTGTTTCTCCAAATTAGGTGCATGGCACTGGTAACTGATGAGTAGTTATAGGTAATTTGACTTAGACCATGGAGTTTATTTAAATTATATATCTAAACAATTTCAATATTGGTGATTTAGCATGCAAATGTGGCAAAATATTTCCTTGGTATACAATTTTTGTTTTACTTGGGTTAGAAGTTTTATAAACCAGTTGGTCTTTTTATTAAACTTTTGGGATTTTTTTTTTTTTTTTTGAGACAGAGTCTCACTGTGTTACCTAGGTTGGAGTGCAGTGGCACAATCTTGGCTCACTGCAACCTCCACCTCCTGGGTTCAAGCAATTCTCTTGCCTCAGCCTCCAGAGTAGCTGGGATTACAGGCACATACCACCACACCTGGCTAATTTTTGTATTTTTAGTAGAGGTGGGCTTTCACCGTTGGCCAGGCTGGTCTCAAACTCCTGATCTCAAGTGATCCACTGGCCTCGGCCTCCCAAAGTGCTGGGATTGCCGACGTGAGCTGCTGCACCCAGCTTAACTTTTGAGAATTCTTAACCAGTCCAATTCTTGGGGTATCTTGGAACTTATGGGGAATTTTTACCCATGATATTAAAGTTATTAGAAATCTGTGTTCACAAGTGTTTTTTAGGGTCCTTTTCATTCTTTCATGAATCTTCTAAGAGACACCATATTCTAGAATTTTGCATGCTTGTGAAGTTTTTAGAAACTGCATCACCATTAAGCAATTAACTGTGGAAATGACTTTAAATAGTTATAGTTAAAGACAATTGACAAGGAAATTTGGTTATCTTTGTGGTCTACAATAACTTAATAACCATAATTAGGGTGGATGTGGTGGCTCATGCCTGTAATCCCAGCACTATGGGAGGCCGAGGTGGAAGGATCACGAGGTCAGGAGATGGAGATCATCCTGGCTAACACAGTGAAATCTGTCTTTACTAAAAATACAAAAATTAGCCTGGCATGGTGGTAGGTGCCTGTAGTCCCAGCTACTTGGGAGGCTGAGGCAGGAGAATGGCATGAACCTGGGAGGTGGAGGTTGCAGTGAGCCAAGATTGCACCACTGTACTCCAGCCTGGGTGACAGAGCAAGACTCCATCTCAGAAAAAAAAAAAAAATCAAGAATTTTAGAAATCCTATACAATTTTAGAATGGATTGATGACATACACTAAATATAACCTGAAGAAGGTTCAACATTATTTTTTATTTTGACAGTGCTACCCATGTGACTTAACATGTTAAATAGTCCTGTTTACCTCTCTTTTGGGTGCTTCAGGGGCCTCTGTAGTATCCCAAAGTTAGAGGTCAGAAAAGACAATTTTGAAGTTGAAATTTGATTTTGGGAAGCCTATTAAATATATTAAAGGTTTAAACACTTGATGTTATGAAATAGAATTCCACGTCACCATAAGTCATTCATTTACCTAAAATCATGACTTAAAAAATTTTTAAAGGGCAAAAATCTTTACTCATTGATAGGGGGAAGACTTATCTTCACAAACGATCTGCCTCTTGTTTTTCCTTTTTTTTTTTGGTAGTTTATTTACAAGGCAAACAAATTTTTCATTTTTTTATTTTATTTTATTTTTATTATTATTATTATTATTATTATTATACTTTAAGCTTTAGGGTTTATGTGCACAATGTGCCGGTTAGTTACATATGTATACATGTGCCAGTCTGGTGTGCTGCACCCATTAACTTGTCATTTAGCATTAGTTACATCTTCTAATGGTATCCCTCCCCCCTTCTCCCACCTCACAACAGTCCCCAGAGTGTGATGTTCCCCTTCCTGTGTCCATGTGTTCTCATTGTTCAATTGCCATCTATGAGTGAGAACATGCAGTGTTTGGTTTTTTGTCCTTGTGATAGTTTACTGAGAATGATGATTTCCAATTTCATCCATGTCCCTACAAAGGACATGAACTCATCATTTTTTATGGCTGCATAGTATTCCATGGTGTATATGTGCCACAATTTCTCAATCCAGTCTAACGTTGTTGGACATTTGGGTTGGTTCCAAGTCTTTGCTATTGTGAATAGTGCCACAATAAACATACGTGTGCATGTGTCTTTATAGCAGCATGATTTATAGTCCTTTGGTTATATACCCACTAATGGGATGGCTGGGTCAAATGGTATTTGTAGTTCCAGATACTTGAGGAATCGCCACACTGACTTCCACTATCGTTGAACTAGTTTACAGTCCCACCAACAGTGTTCCTATTTCTCCACATCCTCTCCAGCACCTGTTGTTTCCTGACTTTTTAATGATTGCCATTCTAACTGGTGTGAGATGGTATCTCATTGTGGTTTTGATGTACATTTCTCTGATGGCCAGTGATGATGAGCATTTTTTCATGTGTCCTTTGGCTGCATAAATGTCTTCTTTTGAGAAGTGTCTGTTCATATCCATTGCCCACTTTTTGATGGGGTTGTTTGTTTTTTTCTTGTAAATTTGTTTAAGTTCATTGTAGATTCTGGATATTATCCCGTTGTCAGATGAGTAGGTTGCGAAAATTTTTTCCCATTTTGTAGGTTGCCTGTTCACTCTGATGACAGTTTCTTTTGCTATGCAGAAGCTCTTTAGTTTAATTAGATCCCATTTGTCAATTTTGGCTTTTGTTGCCATTGCTTCTGGTGTTTTAGACATGAAGTCCTTGCCCATGCCTATGTCCTGAATGGTAATGCCTAGGTTTTCTTCTAGGGTTTTTATGGTTTTAAGTCTAACATTTAAGTCTTTAATCCATCTTGAATTAATTTTTGTATAAGGTGTAAGGAAGGGATCCAGTTTCAGCTTTCTACATATGGCTAGCCAGTTTTCCCAGCACCATTTATTAAATAGGGAATCCACTGCTTCTTTTTGTCAGGTTTGTCAAAGATCAGATAGTTGTAGATATGTGGCATTATTTCGGAGGGCTCTGTTCTGTTCCATTGGTCTATATCTCTGTTTTGGTACAAGTACCATGCTGTTTTGGTTACTGTAGCCTTGTAATATAGTTGGAAGTCAGGTAGCGTGATGCCTCCAGCTTTGTTCTTTTGGCTTAGGATTGACTTGGTGATGCAGGCTCTTTTTTGGTTCCATATGAAATTTAAAGTAGTTTTTTCCAATTCTGTGAAGAAAGTCATTGGTAGTTTGATGGGGATGGCATTGAATCTATAAATTACCTTGGGCAGTATGGCCATTTTCATGATATTGATTCTTCCTATCCATGAGCATGGAATGTTCTTCCATTTGTTTGTATCCTCTTTTATTTCATTGAAGAGTGGTTTGTAGTTCTCCTTGAAGAGGTCCTTCACGTCCCTTGTAAATTGGATTCCTAAGTATTTTATTCTCTTTGAAGCTATTGCGAATGTGAGTTCACTCATGATTTGGTTCTCTGTTTGTCTGTTATTTGTGTATAAGAATGCTTGTGATTTTTGTACATTGATTTTGCATCCTGAGACTTTGCTGAGGTTACTTAGCTTAAGGAGATTTTGGGCTGAGACAATGGGGTTTTCTAGATATACAATCATGTCGTCTGCAAACAGGGACAATCTGACTTCCTCTTTTCCTAATTGAATACCCTTTATTTCCTTCTCCTGCCTGATTGCCCTGGCCAGAACTTCCAACACTATGTTGAATAGGAGTGGTGAGAGATGGCATCCCTATCTTGTGCCCGTTTTCAAAGGGAATGCTTCCAGTTTCTGCCCATTCAGTATGATATTGGCTGTGGGTTTGTCAAAGATAGTTCTTATTATTTTGAGATACATCCCATCAATACCTAATTTATTGAGAGTTTTTAGCATGAAGCGTTGTTGAATTTTGTCAAAGGCCTTTTCTGCATCCATTGAGATAATCATATGGTTTTTGTCTTTGGTTCTGTTTATATGCTGGATTACATTTATTGATTTGTGTATATTGAACCAGTCTTGCATCCCAGGGATGAAACCCACTTGATCATGGTGGATAAGCTTTTTGATGTGCTGCTGGATTCGGTTTGCCAGTATTTTATTGAGGAGTTTTGCGTCAATGTTCATGAAGGATATTCGTCTAAAATTCTCTTTTTTGGTTGTGTCTCTTCCCGGCTTTGGTATCAGGATGATGCTGGCCTCATAAAATGAGTTAGGGAGGATTCCTTCTTCTTCTATTGATTGGAATAGTTTCAGAAGGAATAGTACCAGTTCCTCCTTGTACCTCTGGTAGAATTTGGTTGTGAATCCATCTGGTCCAGGACTTTTTTTGGTTGGTAGGCTATTGATTATTGCCACCATTTCAGCTCCTGTTATTGGTCTATTCAGAGATTCAACTTCTTCCTGGTTTAGTCTTGGGAGAGTGTATGTGTCAAGGAATTTATCCATTTCTTCTAGATTTTCTAGTTTATTTGCGTAGAGGTGTTTGTAGTATTCTCTGATGGTAGTTTGTATTTCTGAGGGATCAGTGGTGATATCCCCTTTATCATTTTTTATTGTGTCTATTTGATTCTTCTCTCTTTTTTTCTTTATTAGTCCTGTTAGCAGTCTATCAATTTTGTTGATCCTTTCAAAAAACCAGCTCCTGGATTCATTAATTTTTTGAAGGGTTTTTTTGTTGCTATTTCCTTCAGTTCTGCTCTGATTTTAGTTATTTCTTGCCTCTGCTAGCTTTTGAACGTGTTTGCTCTTGCTTTTCTAGTTGTTTTAATTGTGATGTTAGGGTGTCAATTTTGGATCTTTCCTGCTTTCCCTTGTGGGCATTTAGTGCTATAAATTTCCCTCTACACATTGCTTTGAATGCGTCCCAGAGATTCTGGTATGTTGTGTCTTTGTTCTCGTTGGTTTCAAAGAACATCTTTATTTCTGCCTTCATTTCGTTATGTACCCAGTAGTCATTCAGGAGCAGGTTGTTCAGTTTCCATGTAGTTGAGCAGTTTTGAGTGAGTTTCTTAATCCCGAGTTCTAGTTTGATTTCACTGTGGTCTGAGAGACAGTTTGTTATAATTTCTGTTCTTTTACTTTTGCTGAAGAGGTCTTTACTTCCAAGTATGTGGTCAATTTTGGAATAGGTGTGGTGTGGTGCTGAAAAAAAGGTATATTCTGTTGATTTGGGGTGGAGAGTTCTGTAGATGTCTATTAGGTCCGCTTGGTGCAGAGCTGAGTTCAATTCCTTGGTATCCTTGTGAACTTTCTGTCTCATTGATCTGTCTAATGTTGGCAGTGGGGTGTTAAAGTCTCCCATTATTATTGTGTGGGAGTCTAAGTCTCTTTGTAGGTCACTCAGGACTGGCTTTATGAATCTGGGTGCTCCTGTATTGGGTGCATATATATTTAGGATAGTTAGCTCTTCTTGTTGAATTGATCCCTTTACCATTATGTAATGGTCTTCTTTGTCTCTTTTGATGTTTGTTGGTTTAAAGTCTGTTTCATCAGAGTCTAGGATTGCAACCCCTGCCTTTTTTTGTTTTCCATTTGCTTGGTAGATCTTTCTCCATCCTTTTATTTTGAGCCTATGTGTGTCTCTGCACGTGACATGGGTTTCCTGAATACAGCACACTGATGGGTCTTGACTCTTTATCCAATTAGCCAGTGTGTGTCTTTTAATTGGAGCATTTAGTCCATTTACATTTAAAGTTAATATTGTTATGTGTGAATTTGATCCTGTCATTATGATGTTAGCTGGTTATTTTGCTCGTTAGTTGATGCAGTTTCTTCCTAGTCTTGATGGTCTTTACAATTTGTCATGTTTTTGCAGTGGTTTGTACCGATTGTGCCTTTGCATGTTTAGTGCTTCCTTCAGGAGCTCTTTTAGGACAGGCCTGGTGATGACAAAATCTCTCAGCATTTGGTTGTCTGTAAAGTATTTTATTTCTCCTTCACTTATGAAGCTTAGTTTGGCTGGATATGAAATTCTGGGTTGAAAATTCTTTTCTTTAAAAATGTTGAATATTGGCCCCCACTCTCTTCTGGCTTGTAGAGTTTCTGCCGAGAGATCAGCAGTTAGTCTGATGGGCTTCCCTTTGTGGGTAACCCGACCTTTCTCTCTGGCTGCCCTTAACATTTTTTCCTTCATTTCAACTTTGGTGAATCTGACAATGATGTGTCTTGGAGTTGCTGTTCTCGAGGAGTATCTTTGTGGCGTTCTCTGTATTTCCTGAATCTGAATGTTGCCCTGCTTTGCTAGATTGGGGAAGTTCTCTTGGATAATATCCTGCAGAGTGTTTTCCAACTTGGTTCCATTCTCCCTGTCACTTTCAGGTACATGAATGTGACATAGATTTGGTCTTTTCACATAGTCACATATTTCTTGGAGGCTTTGTTCATTTCTTTTTATTCTTTTTTCTCTAAACTTCCCTTCTCACTTCATTTCATTCATTTCATCTTCCATCACTGATACCCTTTCTTCAGTTGATCGCATCAGCTCCTGAGGCTTCTGCATTCTTCATGTAGTTCTCCAGCCTTGGCTTTCAGCTCCATCAGCTCCTTTAAGCACTTCTCTATATTGGTTATTCTAGTTATACATTCGTCTAAAGTTTTTTCAAAGTTTTCAACTTCTTTGCCTTTGGTTTGAATTTTTCCCTGTAGCTCGGAGTAGTTTGATCGTTGGAAGCCTTCTTCTCTCAGCTCGTCAAAGTCATTCTCTGTCCAGCTTTGTTCCATTGCTGGTGAGGAACTGCATTCCTTTGGAGGAGGAGAGGTTTTCTGCTTTTTAGAGTTTCCAGCTTTTCTGCTCTGTTTTCACCCCATCTTTGTGGTTTTATCTACTTTTGGCCTTTGATGATGGTGATGTACAGATGGGTTTTTGGTGTGGATGTCCTTTCTGTTTGTTAGTTTTCCTTCTAACAGACAGTACCCTCAGCTTAAGGTCTGTTGGAGTTTGCTAGAGACCCATTCCAGACTCTGTTTGCCTGGGTATCAGCAGTGGTGTCTGCAAAACCATGGATTTTCGTGATCTGCGAATGCTGCTGTCTGATCGTTCCTCTGGAAGTTTTGTCTCAGAGGAGTACCCGGTCGTGTGAGGTGTCAGTCTGCCCCTACTGGGGGGTTCCTCCCAGTTAGGCTGCTCAGGGGTCAGGGGTCTGGGACCCACTTGAGGAGGCAGTCTGCCCATTCTCAGATCTCCAGCTGCGTGCTGAGAGATCCACTGCTCTCCTCAAATCTGTCAGACAGGGACATTTAAGTCTGCAGAGGTTACTGCTGTCTTTTTGTTTGTCTGTGCCCTGCCCCCAGAGGTGAAGCCTGCAGAGGCAGGCAGGCCTCCTTGAGCTGTGGTGGGCTCCACCCAGTTTGAGCTTCCTGGCTGCTTTGTTTACCTAAGAGAGCCTGGGCAATGGCCGGTGCCCTTCCCCCAGCCTCGCTGCCGCCTTGCAGTTTGATCTCAGACTGCTGTGTTAGCAATTAGCGAGATCCCATGGGCGTAGGACCCTCCGAGCCAGGTGCAGGATGTAATCTCCTGGTGCGCCGTTTCCTAAGCCCATCAGAAAAGCACAGTATTAGGGTGGGAGTGGCCCAATTTTCCAGGTGCCATCTCTCACCCCTTTCCTTGACCAGGAAAGGGAACTAACTCCCTGACCTTTTGTGCTTCCCGAGTGAGGCAATGCCTTGCCCTGCTTCGGCTAGTGCACAGTGCACTTCACCCACTGTCCTGCACCCACTGTCTGGCACTCCCTAGTGAGATGAACCCAGTACCTCAAATGGAAATGCAGAAATCACCCATCTTCTGCGTCGTTCATGCTGGGAGCTGTAGAGTGGAGCTGTTCCTATTCGGCCATCTTGGCTCCTCCTCCCATTATTTTTTAATATTTTCTGAAAATGTTCTTTAAAGAGAGAAAGCCAAATGTCACCCACTTTTTCATAAAACCTTATAGGCAAATCTATTATTCTTTTTTTTTTTTTTTGAGATGGATTTTACCTCTCGTTGCCCAGGCTGGAGTGCAATGGTGCGATCTTGGTTTACTGCAATCCCCTGCCTCCCAGGTTCAAGCGATTCTCCCGCCCCAGCCTCCTGAGTAGCTGGGATTAGAGGCATGCCCCACCATGCCCAGCTAATTTTGTGTTTTTAGTAGAGACAGGGTTTTTCCTTGTTGGTCTGGCTGGCCCTGAACTCCTGACCTCAGGTGATCCACCTGTCTCGGCCTCCCCAAGTGTTGGGATTACAGGCGTGAGCCACTGCCCCTGGCCATGTTTTTTTTAAAGATAGCGTCTTGCTCTGTCACCCTCCTCACCACATTATAGCTCTGGGGGCCAAGCTGCATCACAATGGAAATCATGGAGCCACAGGAAGAATCCACTCAGCTTTGCAAGATGCTGCCCAAGGGGTTGCTTGGAGTAACCAAATTAACATTTTTCATTCTGCTCAGAGCAAAATACATGTGACAAAACATAGACACGAGCCACTTTGCTTAGCACACAGTGTCAAACTGGTAAGACTCAAACTTGCTCCCAGATAGGCCGTGCCATCTCTAAATCTTTTTAGAAGCTTCTGCATATTAATAGGCATCCCTAAGTGAGACTAATTTGGGAGCCCTCATTTTTAAATGCACTTCAGGGCATTATTCATTTGGAATGTTCCACTGTAAGTTATCTTTAGTAAGATTTTGCCATTTCTGTAAGACTTTGCTGCTTCCCAGGCCTAATGAATTAGCCAGAAGGAACTTAGTTTTCCAGAAATTAAGGATCCTATTTTTACCTAATATATTGGCTTTACTCCCAGGTTCCCTTGATTGACTTAGCCAATGATTTTTTTTTCCTACCTAAGCATGCGAGGAAAATGAAACAAAGGGGTAGAACACAAAAATCCCTGTGAATTTTGAAAAGCCAAATTTTACAACCCTCCAATATTATCATTTGCTACCACTTTCCTTCTGACCCATTCAGATGTAGGAGGCCTCTAACTGGAACTGGATTCAAGCCAGTTAACTACTGGATCAAATCTGATCCTGGACCCGGTCCCGTTTCTGTCATAACTTCTAAAACATCCAGCCAGTCATGGCCGGATAGCAGTTTGGAACAGAAATTTGCTCAAAGAAACTCAGAGCTCAAAACACAAATCCATGGAGCTCTGAAATCCGAGAGAGAATTTACCACGATACCCAGCTGCTCTGAGAGGTCAAAGGGCACAAGTGTTACAGAATCCTGAGGCATCAATTTTCTGCCTGAAACCTCTGGCTGGTGGCACATTTACCTGTGTTTTGCTCGAGCCCACTGGGTTCGTTCTGTCCACTCGGCTCATGCTAGTGGTCTGGATCCCACACCTGCCAAGGGTGAGCTGGGTACAGAGCAGTGAAGGGTGTGTGAGCAAGCGAGCATGGGATCTGGCCACTGCACACAGCCAAGCATGCCAGCTGCAGTGGTGTGGGCAGCTCCAGGCACCGGCACAGGTGCCAGCTCCCTGTGAGGCTGCAGCTGGACCAGGCCGACTGCAAACAGCTTCCACTGTGGGTATCAGGGAATGCAGTGGTGCCCAGAAGCTTAGAGATGCAGGAACTACAGAGCCCCAAAGAAGGTGTCACAGCCCTGGCTTGGGGAGCTCCTAGGTCTGGGCTCCCTGAAGGGCCACAGCTCTTCTCTCCTTCTCTCTTCTCTTCTTCTTGCCTGCAATTTGGCAAGCAAGGGGTGCGTTTCAGCCCTGTTTATGTTGCAACTCTTTCAGCCCTGCTAGTTGGCAGGTCCCGAGTTCTTGTCCTGAGTCCAGGAAGAATGAGGTATGTGGGCAAGTAGAAGGTGAGCAAGGTGAAGAGGTGCTTTATTGAGCAACAGTACAGCTCAGAGGAGACCTGCAGTGGGTAGCTCCTTTCTGCAGGCAGGTCATCCCAACGTCTGTTCAGCTCTCAGCAGCTGAGAGAGATGCACGGTGGTTAGCTGTGCACACGATGCCCAGGCTGTTCGAGCTGAGGAGTGCCTTCAGGCCAGTGCTGAGCCACCCTTAGCCCCACCTCAACCTCCCTCCTGTGCTCGTCAGTGCCCAAAGTCTGGAGGGGGCTGAGGTGGCAGGGGGCTGGCATGTCAGCACTGCCCTGAGCTTGCACAAACTGGGCTGGGTTGCGACTGTACCCGGGTTCAGCCTCAACTTGGATCCGAAGTTGGAGTGGGCTCTGGGAGCGGAGACGCCAGGTGGTGGGACCAGGTACAACTGAGCCTGCGGGGGCAGGGGGGCTTGCTGGGTCTCTGAGAGTGCAAAGATGCCCGGGTTTGCAGTCATGGCTGGATGTCTGCAGCTGTGCCTGGGAGGGCGGGGCTCCTGCCTACCAATTTAGAAGGGGTGGGGCTCCCCCCCGTTCCTGGCTCCCACCAGCTTCGAGGAGCGCACAGCCCCAGCCACTCCTCCCCACAGCAGCCAGTGTCTCCGTAGCAACTTATCCACGTGGGCCACTGCTGCCATCACAGAGCAGTCCTTGCAGGTGCCTTTCTTGTACCTCAGCACTCCTGGGGGTCATTAGAAGCCCTAGCAACACTGCTCACCACACTATAACTCCGGAGGCCCTAGCAGTCCTGCTACCACAGATCCCACTTCTGATACCATCTATTAAAAGAAAATCTTCAGCTGAATTAAATTTAAAGGAACTTAATTGAGCAATGAATGATTCACGAATCAGGCAGCCCCCAGAATCACAGCAGATTTGGTGAGACTCCAGCACAGCTACATGGTGGAAGATTTATAGACAATAAAGGGAACGTGATGTACAGAAGTCTGAAGTGAGGAGTGAGGTCCAGAAGCACCTGAGTCTGTTACAGTTCTCAGCAGTGAGGTCCAGAAACAACTGGACTGGTTACAGTGCTCAGCATTTGCCTTATTTGAACACAGCTGAACACTCAGCAGTGTGTGAGTGGCAGAAGTTTGGCTGTTGGGATTGGTCAGGACTCAGCTATAGTTACAGGCGCATACTCCTAAGTTAGGTTTTCAGTCTTTCTACCTATTAAGTTAGGTTGCAGTTTGTCCACAGGGACTCAAATCTAGAAGTACAGAGTCCTTCCCAGGCCATATTTAGTTCACTGTAACAGTTCCTATTATGACCTCACTGACAGTTCTTTTTCTCTGAATTCTCCTTTCTTCTCAACAGCTTATCCAAATGTTCCGTTGGTCCCTGTTCATCCCGCCCTGCAGTTCTCCTTGACTGATTCAGCCCTTTGTGGTTTGCAGTCCTGTTTCTCTACAGCTTGGACCCCTTCAGTCTTTCCATCATAAGTTTAACTCTCTGTTGAATGCTTCTTTGTAGCTACACAAAAGTTACCTTAAGCTCAAAAAATTCAAAGTGAAAGCCACCTCCTCCTCTCTTCCCTTATGTATTTGGTATTACTACCATGCAGCCAGTGACCCAAAATGGGATTTCTTCTGGGCTTTTCTTGGTTAGATTCAGGCTCATCTGGTGTCAAGCTTTGTTACTTTTGTTTCCTTGTTCTTTTATTTTTAATTTTTTTTCTTTTGAGACAGAGGTTCGCTCTTGTTGCCCAGGCTAGAGCGCAGTGGTGTGATCTCGGCTCACTGCAGCCTCCACCTCCCGGGTTCAAGCAATTCTCCTGCCTCAGCTCCTGAGTAGCTGGTATTACAGGCATTTGCCACCACGCCCGGCTAATATTGTATTTTTAGTAGAGATGGGGTTTCTATGTTTTGATCAGGGTGGTCTCGAACTCCTGACCTCAGGTGATCCACCCGCCTCAGCCTCCCAAAGTGCTGGGATTACAGGCGTGAGCCACCGTGCCTGGCCTGCTCGTTGTTTTCATCTCATCCTGATTTCTGAATACAGTAGAGGAGCTGAGTTGGTGTTCACTAACAAGCACGAAAGCTTTGTTATATTTACAGTGTCATTCTTGGCAAAACCTGAATGGTATGTTTGTGGGGTGATGAGATTCAGTCCCCTGTGACCTGTACATCTGGCCAAAACTGTGGTGACATCCTTAGGAATCCATGGGGAGAGAGAAAGCATTCAGGAGTTAGTGGGTCACGTTTGACAAGCGCCAATAAAGAAATATGCAAAGACAGAAAACAAGAAGAACATTGTCATATTTTCTACCTTTTGTCTATATAAATTTATGTCAATGATTCTAGCTTATGTTAATATGCAATGTATACAATATGCTAACATATACAATATATGTTTATAGTTTAAACATTTCTGTCATGTTTTCAGATTCTTTAAAGATTATATTACGCTTCCTATTTCAGATAGCTGTTTAAAATGAGTAAGGAAAAACGGATGTGTATATCAGTTCTAACTGTTTATGGACTAAAACTAATTGATTTCTTGGTTAAGAACAAAAAGTGACAACCTAATTACTGAAAATATTAAGTAGGCAATTATAGTTTTAGCTTTAATGTAAAATATTAACTATGCTCCTTTCTTGCATTTTTAACCTAATACTCAATATAAATCGCCACATGCCATGTTTCAGATCAAGGTTCTACTTGTGATCTCTCATGAGTTTTTCAAGGTTTTAATTATCTGAGATGTAACAATGTACCAGTAACCTTACTGGCTTAAACCAGGAATTTATTCTTTTTACATGTCACAATTTTCTTGGTCAAGACACTGGACAGGGTGGTGTGGGTTTGTTGCTTCATGATCTCCCTGGTCTCATCTGTAAGGACTCTAGTGGCTGGGGACGTGAAGCAGGCACCCAGAAGGACTCTAGTGGCTGGGGACATGGAGCAGGCACCCAGCCCTCTCTTTGTGGCCAGCACGGACTTCCTCCCAGTCTGGCAGTCAGGTAGTCAGGTTTGTCTGGCTTCTCCCAGGGTGTGTGTCCAAGAGGCCCAGGCAGAAGCTGTAAGGTCTCTCATGATCATCCCTCAGAAGTCCCAGAGCATCTCTCCTGCCACACTGTCCAGTCGTACTCATCACTGAGATCAGCCATGATTCAAGGTGGGAAGGTGATTAGATTCCACCTCTTGATGAGGAGCATAGTAGGAACCTGCAGCAGTCTTTCATAAACCACAGCTTGTCCTCTGGCCACAAACTATTAACGTTTCTCCCACATGGAAATTATGCTTTGCCCCTCTCAAGAGCCCCAGAATGGTTTTCCTTATGGCACTGGCTGGTAGCCCAACTGAATCCTGAATCAGGTTGTGGTGGCCTGTCATCTGCACCCACACACACAGACACAGTGAGGACTGAATCAGGTTGTGGTGGCCTGTCATTTGACCCCCGACACACAGCCACAGTGGGGACTGAATCAGGTTGTGGTAGCCTGTCATCTGACCCCCCACACACAGCCACAGTGGGGACTGAATCAGGTTGTGGTGGCCTGTCATCTGCGCCCGACACACACAGCCACAGTGAGGGGACTGCTGTGAAAACAGTCGACATTTCCCTTTAGAAGCTGTTGGTGGGAGGCAGGAGGGAGGTGCTGCCCTGCAGGCCCCGTTTAACAGTTGGTCATTCCCATGGGGCGCCTGTTACAGTTCTGTGATTAGTGCCCAGTCCTGGTCCCTGAGAACGGCGCCCAGTCCCGGTCCCTGAGAATGGTGTTTGTGTCCTTTTACTCCTCCCTCTGGGCTTTTGTCATTCTCCATGTTCTTTTTCCTTCAGTGCCTGGGTTGCTGTTGACCAACTTTCCCTGCCTTTTTCTTATGGTCAATAGGGTATTCAATGGCTTCTTTTTCATTTTTTTTTCCTTTTCTTTTCTTTTCTTTTTTTTTTTTTTTACTTTGGCCTTTTGAGACAAGAAATTATTTCTTTATATTTTCTCTAAATTCTGTTTGAAAACTGAACCTCCTTCTTTAGATCATGTCCCTCTCCTGTCATATTTATTCAGTGACAGTTAGGGGAGGCTGGTAGCACTTTCCATGTTCTTCCCAGATGTCTCCTTAGGCAGATCCCTGAGATGATGCAGTGCCCTTTCAGTTTCCATGTTGTGGTCGTAGTTTTCCCACAGTCCCTCAACACGTAACTCTCAGGCCTTTTCTCCAGTTTCCAATGACATTTTCTCACCGTCCTTCAGGCCCTGACCAAGAGTCTTGATGCCTTTCCAGGTTGCATGAATGGTCTCCTTGAGACCCAGTTACAGGTCAGCCTCACAGTCGTGGCACATATTGTAGCTTCTGATTACCACAGCAGCTCATTTCCAGCTGCCATATTCTGTTCCAGTTATCTGTTCTGAAGAAACCATCCCCAAAAGTTGGCAGCTTAAAACAACTCATTATTACTTGTTGTTTGGCTTAGAGAGTCTTGGTGGCCAGCTCATCTCACACACATTTGCAGCCAAGCTGGATTGTGTGAAAGCACAGTGGGGTGGTGTGCAGGGTGGCCCACTAGTGGTTGGGAGTGGATGTTGCTGGAGGCTCACTAGTTGTTGGGAGTCGGTGTTGCTGGAGGCTCAGTGGGGGATGTCAATGCGTGTAGCTAGTCATGGACTGGCCATGTGGTTTCCATCATGAGGTCTCAGGGGAGTGGGATTTCCTGCCTGGTGACTGGCTTTCTCCTGGATAAGTGTTCTGTTTTCTCAGCCTGGCTTCTGAAGTCCCCAAATACCACCTTTGTCACCTTCTGTTGGCCAAACAAGTCAGTAGTCTGGGCAAGGTTTAAGGGGAATTGGTTCTCACAGAGACAGGAGCAGGAAAGAATTTGTCACCTTTAGTCTACCAGAAATGAGCTTTTTATAACAAGTTTGTTCCAAATACATTCCAGTTCCCCTTGTGAATACTTTTTTGACTCACAGGATATTTCAAAGTTTATTACTTGGTTTTCAGACATTTGAGGCTTTTCTGGATATCAATTTGTTGTTGGTTTCTAATTTAATTTCAAGTGTTCAGACAACATACTTTGTATACTATTTCAGGCTTGAACCTTTTCTCAATCGATCGACATAGAGTCTATCTTGGTACTGCCAAGTACCATTTGGGTCAGGATTTTGTCATTTAGATCCGTATTTTTCCTATATTTTTATCTGGTTGTTCCATCAGTTACTGAGAGAGCAGTATTAATTCACCAGCTATAATTTTGGATTGTCAATTTCCTGCTTTTGTTCTGTTGTTTTTGATTCACATACGTTGAGGCTCTGTGTGTGTGTGTGTGTACTTTGTATGCACTTTGAGGCACAATTTATAATTGTAACATCATCGTCTCTGATTCTTTTATTTTTATTAAATTACCCTGTTTATTTCTGGTGATATATTTTGTTCTGAAGCCTCTTTCATCTAGTGTTAACATCTCTGTTGAAGCTTTTTATGATTAGTGTCTGAATAGCATATTTTTACGATTAGTGTCTGCATAGCATATTTTTTCTCATACTTTGTATCTTTGTGTTTAAATTGTGTCTCTGTGGATGCCATATTTTTGGGTCTTGCCTTCCTCTCAGGTCTGGCAGTCTCTGTCTTAAGTAGAGTATTTGTCCAGTTACATTGTAACTAATCATTGCTAAGGTTGGATTTAGGTCTGCCATTTTTCTACTTATTTTCTATTTTTTTTTATTTTTTTTTAAGACAGGGTCTTGCTCTGTCACCCAGACTGTAGTGCAGTAGTGCAATCTTGGCTCACTGCAAACTCTGCCTCCCAGGCCCAACCAATCCTCACTTGAGCCCCCTGAGTAGCTGGGACTACACGTGCATGGCACCACACCTGGTTAATTTTTATATTTTTTGTAGAGATAGGGTTTTGCCATGTTGCACAGGCTGGTCTTGAACTCCTGAGCTCAAGCAATCTAACAACCATGGCCTCCCAAAGTGTTCAGATTACAGGCATGAGCCACCATGCCTGGCCTTCATCTGTCTTTTGATCTTCTATATATTCTTTCCTAACTTCTTTTGGGTTAAATATTTCTAAATATTCCAGTTTGATTAATCTTTTGGCTTTTTGAAATAATTTTTTATAGGCTGGGCATGTTGGCTTATGCTCGTAATCTCAGCTCTGTGGGAGTCCAAGGGAGGTGGATTGCTTGAGCCCAGGAGTTTGAGACCAGCCTGGGCAACATGGCAAAACCCTCTCTACAAAAAAACCAAACCAAAATTTAGACTGACATCTTGATGTGCACCGGTAGTCCCAACTATTTGGGAGGCTGAGGTGGGAGGATTGCTTGAGCCTGGGAGGTTGAGGCTGCAATGAGCTGTGATCATGCCATTGCACTCCTGCCAGGGCAACAGAGTAAGAACCTGTGTCAAAAAGATCATTTTTTATAAATAATTTATTATTTCGAATTTTGGTAACAAACACATACCTTAAAATTTACCATCATAACCAGTTGTAAGTATAGAGTTTTGTAGAGTTAAGAATATTTGCAGTGTTGTGTAGCAGATTTCTAGATTTTTTTTTTTATCTTGGAAAACTCTATACCCATTCAACAACTATTTATTTCCTCTTCCTTCCACCTCCTGGCAAGTACTATTCTACTTTGTGTTTCTAAAAATTTGGCTTATATACCTAGGGTTATATAATATTTGTTGTTTTGTAAGTAGGTTCCATGTTATGTGTCAGATGTGTCAGGATTTTCTTCCTTTCTATGGCTGAATAATATTTCTTCATATATATATATATTTTTTTTCTCTATCTATATATATATATCTCCTTTTGTTTATCCATCTATTCCCGGATGGACGTTTTGGTATCTTCCACCTTGTGGCTGTGTAATGCTCCTGTGAACACATAGGTGTGCACATATCTGTTTGAGGTCCTGCTACTAGTTATTTTGTCTCTGTAGAAGTTGGATGGCTGGATCATATGGTCATTGTATTTTATTTTTTTGAGGAGCCAGTTCATATTTCCACCAACAGTGTTCAAGGGTTTCAGTTTCATCTGCACTTGTTACTTTCTGTTGGGTTTGAAGTGATGTCCCATTGTGGTTTCTATTTGCATTTCTCTAATGACTAGTGATGTTACACATCTTCTCATATATCTCATGTATCTGTTGGCTATTTTTATATCATCTTTGCATCTTTGGATAAATGTTCTTTGTCCATTTTTTAATCACTTTATTTTGTTGTTGTGTTGTAGCGGGGTTTTTTGGTCATGACCATTCATTTATTTCACAGTTCATTCTTGTTACTTGGGCCAGGGTCATGATCATTCATTATCTCTCAGTTCATCCTCATTACGTTGGGCAAACAGTCATGCTGCAGGGTATAGATTATGTTATTCTGTTACTTTCAGGTAGAATTGGGGTCTAGGTTATAATTGTTTCTAAGTTTAGATTCTGAATGAGAATCAGCAGACGTAGACCACTGCTGCTGAGGCCTGGGGATTGCTGGGAAAAAGGCAGGAAACAGATACGGACCTGACCATGGAGGGTTTGTGTTTCACGGCTCCCATCTGGGTACCCAAGGAACCTACATGTAGCTCGTGTGTGGAGAGCCTACATTGCCCACTCAAAGCAATTGAGGATGGAACGGTCTTGGGGCTGGAGCTCATTATTTGGAATGATAACCACATCTGCACAGAGAGGAGCTGATAAGATGTTGTCCTTCCATGTATATCTGGGAATCCTGTGTAGGGTCTCTCTGTAAGGACAGGGGCAGTATTGGCTCCTTGGCCTCTAGTTAACCTCACAAGTAGTCTAGTAAAGGCTTTGCAAACTTGTCACCATCTGTGGACATTCTGGCCAGCTCTTATTTTCACCCTACTGACTTCTTCAGACACTAGGCTTTTGCTTTAGACCATTCATGGTTTTTCTTCCTCTTCAAATCAGTAATCAATAAATACTCTTCAAGTCAATAAATTTCCACTCCTTTAGGAAACCCTGATCTTCGGGTCGCACCACAAGGTTTAATTAACTCGTTTGATTGTTTTTCTGTTTTCTTGGGTTTTTTTTTTTTCCTTCTTCCTGGGGGTTTCTAGTAATTCTAGTTTGATGTCTCACTTTCTCCATTTTTTATTTCTTAGTTTTCTTCTGTGATTATTTTCACTGCAGCTGCAGGGCCTAATCCTGGGTTGGCAGAGAACTAGCACTTACTCTGCCCTAATTAGAATCCAGGAGAGATAGGAGGTGCCCTAGTGTGAAAATGTGTTTGCTCCTCTCTGCTTCTGGTAGTCTCTCTGTAGGAGTTCTTTACGTATTCTGAATGTTCACTTCTTATGAGATACATGATGAGCTACTATAGGTTGAATGTCTCTGATCCAAAAATCTGAAATCCCAAATGCTCCAAAGTCTGAAACTTTTTGAGTGCCAACATGACACTCAAAGGAAATGCTTATTGGAGCATCTCAGACTCGGGTGTTTGAATTCGAGATGTTCAACCAGTAAGAATAATGCAAATATTACAAAATCTGAAACACATCCCAAGCATTTCAAATAAGGGACACTGAACTGGTATTTTCTTTTATTCTACAGTTTGCCTTTTACCCTGTTGGTTGTGACCTTTGAGGAACAGAAGTTTTTAGGTTTGATATATTTTTGCTTTTACTGCCTGAGATTTTAATGTCATATCCTAAAAATTATTGACAAATTCAACGTCATAAGGCATTTTCCAAATTTGTTTTCCCTAGGAGTTTGATAGTTCTAGTTTTACATTTAGGTTTATAATTCACTTTGAATTAATTTTAACATGGTGTAAGGTAAGAGTCCAACTTCATTGTTTTGCATGTAGATATACAATTTTCCCAACACCATTTGTTGAAGAAAGTGTCCTTCGCCATTGAGTGGTCTTGGCATCCTTGTGGGAGATCATTGGACCATATATGCCATGGTTGGTTTCTGAGGTCTCCGTTGTGTTGGTCCATAAGTGTGTCAAGAGTGTCTTTTTGCCATGACCACATATTTTTTTTTGGCTTATTGCAGTTTTGTAATTGTTTTGAGACCTTTAATTTTGTTCTGTTTTAAGATTTATTTGCCTATTCATGGGCCCCATAGATTCCATATGAATTTTAGGATAGGATTTTCTGTTTATCAAAAATGTCATTGGAATCTTTATAAGGATTGTATTGAATCTAGGTCACTTCGAGTAGTGTTGACATCATTCCAAGATGAAATCATTTAATCTGTAAACCCAGCTTTTCTTTTCATTTATTTGTGTTTAATTTCTTTTAACAGTGTTTTGTAGTTTTCTGTGTTCAAATCTTTTGCCCTCTTGGTTAAGCTTATTTCTAATTTTCATAATGTTGTTGTAAATGTAATTCTTTTTTTTTTGAGATGGAGTCTTGCTCTGTCTCCCAGGCTGGAGTGCAGTGGCACTATCTCAGGTCACTGCAACCTGCACCTTCCCTATTCAAGCGATTCTCCAACCTCAGCCTCTCAAGTACCTGGGATCACAGGTGCGCGCCACCATGCCCAGCTAATTTTTTGATATTTTTAGTAGAGACAGGGTTTCTCCATGTTGACCAGGCTAGTCTTGAACTTGTGACCTCAGGTGATCTGCCCACTTTGGCCTCCCAAACTGCTGGGATTGCAGGCATGAACCACCGCACCTGGCCAAATATCATTCTTTTTAAAAATTTCTTTTCTTTTGTTTTCTCTTTTCTTTTCTTTTCTTTTCTTCCTCTCTCTTTCTTTCCTTTCTTTCTTTTTTTTTGAGACCGCATCTCACTCTGTTTCCTAAGCTGGAGTGCAGTGGCACAATCTCAGCTGACTGCCACCTCCACCTTCCAAGTTCAAGCAATTCTCCTGCCTCAGCCTCCCAAGTAGCTGTGACTACAGGTGTCTGCCACTACGCCCAGCTAATTTTTGTATTTTTAATAGAGATAGAGTTTTACTATTTATATTAGAGATGAGGTTGGCCCAGCTGGTCACGAACTCCTGACCTCAGGTGGTCCACCCACCTTGGCCTCCCAAAGTGCTGGGATTACAAGTGTGAGCCACTGCACCTGGCCTCTTTTTAAAATTTTATTTGCAGATTGTTCATTGTTAGTTTATAGAAATGCAACTGACTTGTGTGTGTTACTGTATCCTGAAACTTTGTTGAATTTCATTATTCTACCAGTATTTTGTGGAATTTCAGGATTTTTACACATTACATCCTGTTGTCTGTGAACAAAATTTTGTACTTTTTCCTTTCCAATTTGCATCCTTTTTATTACTTTCTCTTGCCTAATTATTCTGAGTAGAAATTCCAGTACTGTGATGAATAGAAGTGGCAGGAAGAGATGTTGCTATCTTATTCCTGATCCTAGAGGAAAATATTTTAGTTTTTCACCATTGAGTATGATGTTAGCTGTGAGCCTTTCATGTATAATCTTTATTTATTGAGGAGTTTCCATATATTACTAATTCTTTGAGTGTTTTTATTACAAAAGGTGTTCATCTGGCTCTGGAACCAGATAAACGTTGACCTGATAGAATGGATTGGAATGTCCCCTTCTGGTTTTTGAACATTTTTGGAATATTTTGCAGAGGATTGGCATTAATTCTTCTTGAAATGTTTGGTAAATTTTTCCAGTGAAGTTATCTGGACCTGGAATTTTCTTTTTTGGGGGGTTTTTGATTACTGGTTGAATCTTCTTACTAGTTACAGGTCTCTTTGGATTTTTTATTTCTCCCTGATGCAGTATGGAGGTTTGTGTTTCTAGGAATTTATAAATTTATTCTAGGTTGCCCAGTTTTGTGGCATATGGTTGCTCACATTAGTCTCTTGTAATCTTTTTCATTTTTGTGACATCTGTTGTACTGTCACCTCTTTTATTTAAGATTTTAGCATTTGAGATTTCTCTTTTTTTCTTAATATAGCTGTGAGTTTTAAAATTTTTATTGATCTTTAAAAAAACAAACTCAGTGTTTTTTTTCCTTTTTTTCTGGTCTTATTCTGCTTATCTCTGCTCTAATCTGTTATTTTCTTCCTTTTGCTTGGTTTGTCATTAGTTTTTTTTTTTTCCCCCCCTTCAGGTGTAATGTTAGGTTATTGATTTGAGATCTTTCTTCTTTTTAATTTAAGCACCTGCAGCTATAAGCTTCCCTTTAGCATGGGTTTGAGATCTTTCTTATTTTTAATTTAAGCATCTGCAGCTGTAAGCTTCCCTTTAGCACTGTCTTTGTTGCCTCCTCCTGAGTTTGGGTATGTCATGGTTTTCATTTGCTTAAACATTTTTTGTCCTATTGCAATATAATTGTGTTGTTTTTAATAAAGGTAATTAATGAAACCCATAATGAATTGTGCTTCTGTTTTTATAATATTTTAAGCATTCTTAACTCAGAAATGTAAATTTTAGAAAAAAATTCCAGGCCAGGCACAGTGTCTCACACCTGTAATCCCAGCACTTGAGGAGGCCGAGGCGGGAGGATCATCTGAGGTCAGGAGTTGGAGACCAGCCTGGCCAACATGGTGAAACCCTGTCTTTACTAAAAATAGAAAAAAAATATATAAAAGTTAGCTGGGTGTTGTGGTGGGTACCTGTAATCCCAGCTACTCTGGAGGATGAGGCAGGAGAATCACCTGAATCTGGGAGGCGGAGGTTGCAGTGAGCTGAGATTGCACCACTGCACTCCAGCCTGGGTGACAGAATGAGAGTCCGTCTCAAAAAAAAAGAAAAAAGAAAAATTTCAGACATATTTATTTGTATTTCAATTTAGAAACTATGATCTCCTAAGTGTATTGACACAGGAACCTGAAATAAAGATAAAGAATAATAAGCATATAACAAAACGGAAACTTGCAAATACCTGTTTTTTATTAATTTTTAATTATATATATTTAAAAATTGCCGGGTGCAGTGGCTTACACCTGTAATCCCAGCACTTTGGGAGGCTGAGGTGGGCAGATCACATGAGGTCAGGAGTTTGAGACCAGCCTGGCCAACATGGTGAAACCTCATCTCTATTAAAAATCAAAAAATTAGCCAGGCATGATAGCATGCATCTGTATTCCCAGCTACTCGGGAGACTGAGGCAGGAGAATTGCTTGAACATGGGAGGCAGAGGTTGCAGTGAGCCAAGATAGTGCCACTGCACTCCAGTCTGGGTGACAGAGTGAGACTCTGTCTCAAAAAAATAAAAATTGTCTGGGCGCGGTGGCTCACAACTATAATCGCAGCACTTTGGGAAGCTGAGGCAGGCAGATCACGTCAGGAGATCGATACCATCCCGGCTAACACGGTGAAACGCCATCTCTACTAAAAATACAAAAAATTAGCTGGGCGTGGTGGCGGGTACCTGTAGTTCCAGCTACTCAGGAGGTTGAGGCAGGAGAATGGTGTGCACCTGGGAGGTGGAGCTTGCAGTGAGCCGAGATTGCGCCACTAGACTCCAGCCTGGGTGACAGAGCGAGACTCTGTCTCAAAAAAAAAAAATAAAATAAAACTAAGGTGTGGTTGACATACAAAAATTATACATATTTAATATATAGCTTGTGTGTGTGTGTGTTGTGTGTGTGTGTGTGTGTGTGTGTGTGTGTGTTACGGAGGTTTTACTTTTGTTGCCCAGGCTGGAGTGCAGTGACACGATCTCAGCTAGCTGCAACCTCCGCCTCCCGGGTTCAAACAATTCTCCTGCCTCAGCCTCCTGAGTAGCTGGGATCACAGGCGTGCGCCCCCATGCCCGGCTAATTATTGTATTTTTTTAGTAGAGACAGGATTTCATCATGTTGGCCAGGCTGGTCTCGAGCTCCTGACCTCAGATGATCCACCTGCCTCGGCCTCCCAAAGTGCTGGGATTACAGGTGTGTGACACCGAATATATACATCTTAATGAGTATAGAGATAAGTATTCGCCCCAGGTCTCATCACAACAAATAATGCCGTAAACTTGACCATCACTCCCCATATATTTCTCATTCTCACCCTTTTTAAAAAATGAGACCGGGAGTGGTGGCTCACGCCTGTAATCCCAGCACTTTGGGAGGCCAAGGCAGGTGGATCACGAGGTCAGGAGATCAAGACCATCCTGGCTAACACAGTGAAACCCCGTTTCTACTAAAAATACAGAAAATTAGCCGGGCATGATGGCGGGCACCTGTAGTCCCAGCTACTCGGGAGACAGAGGCAGGATAATGGTGTGAACTCGGGAGGCAGAGCTTGCAGTGAGCCTAGATCGTGCCACTGCACTCCAGCCTGGGCAACAGAGTGAGAATCTGTCTCAAAAAAAAAATGAGATGACCATTTCACCTAAAATATACCCTCTTAAGTTTTTTTTTTAAGTGTACAATACAGGATGGCCATGCATCAGAGATATATCTGGGTTCGGTTCCAGACCACTACAATAAAGTGAGTTATACAATCTCTTTTGGTTTCCAAGTGCATGTAAAAGTATGTTTATATTGTGCTGTATAAAGTGTGCAATAGCATATGTCTACAAAGTGTGCACACTTTAATTTACAAATACTTTATTGTTAACATGTGCTAACAGTCATCTGAGCCTTCAGAAAGCTGCAATCTTTTTGTGTGTGTGTGACAGGGTTTTACTCTGTGGCTCAGGCTGGAGTAATTGCAGCCTCAACCTCATGCTCAATCAAACCCCCACCTCAGACTCCTGACTAGCTGGGACTACAGGTGCATGCAACCATGTCCAGCTAATTTTTGTATTTTTTTTTTTGTAGAGATGGGGTTTTGCCATGTTGCTTTGATGTTCTGGGCTCAAGCAATCCACCCACCTTGGCCTCCCAAGGTGTTGGGATGACAGGTGTGAGCCACTGCACCTGGCCAAGTTTCAGTCTTCTTGCTGATGGAGGGTCTTGCCTTAATGTAAGGTGGTGGTTGCTGAGCGTTGGGGTGGCTGTGGCTATTTCTTAAAATAAGACACCATTGAAGTTTGCTGTGTCAATTGACTCTCCCTTTCACAAAAGAATTATCTGTAGCATACGATGTTGTTTGATAGCTTTTTACCCACAGTAGAACTTTCAAAGTTGGATTCAATGCTGTCAAACCTTCGTACTGCTGTACCAACTAAGTTTATGTATTATTGTAAATCGTTGGGTTCAATTCTGTCAAGCCCTCCTTCTGCTGTACCAACTAAGTTTATTCTAAATCTGTTGTCATCTCAACATTGTTTACACTGTCTTCACCACGATTAGATTTCATCTCAAGAAACCACTTTCTTTGCTCATCCATGGAAGCAACTCATCCACTCACGTTTTCTCTGGAGGCTGCTGCAGTCTCGCCAGATATTCAGGCTCTGTCTCTGATTCTAGTGCTCTTGTTATTTCCACCATATCTGCAGTTACTTCCTCCACAGAAGTCGTGAACCCCTGTGTCATCTGTGAGGGTTGGAATAATCTTCCCAACTTCTCTCTCTCTCTCTTTTTTTTTTTTTTTGAGATGAAATCTTGCCTGGGCTGGAGTGCAGTGATGCGATCTCAGCTCACTGCAACCTCCACCTCCCGGGTTCAAGCAATTCTCCTGCCTCAGCCTCCCAAGTGTTTGGGATTACAGTCACCCCCGACCAGACCCAGCTAATTTTTTTTTGTGTTTTTAGTACAGACAGGATTTCACTATGTTGGCCAGGCTGGTCTCAAATTCCTGACCTCGTGATCCA
The DNA here is from genome assembly GCF_000001405.40 of Homo sapiens. Taxonomy (NCBI): domain Eukaryota; kingdom Metazoa; phylum Chordata; class Mammalia; order Primates; family Hominidae; genus Homo; species Homo sapiens. The sequence goes on from NT_187498.1 coordinate 98,859, forward strand.
CTTGCCTTGGCCTCCCAACGTGCTGGGATTACAAGTGTGAGCCACCATGCCCGGCCCCAACTTCTCCTAATGTTTCTATTTTGATCTTCTTTTTTAAATCATGAATGTTCTCAATGGCATCTAGAATGGTGAATCCTTTCCAGTAGGTTTTCAATTATTTTGCCCATATCCATCAAAGGAATCACTTTCTAGAGAAGTTATAGCTTTATGAAATATATTTTTTAAGTGATAAGACTTGAAAGTTGAAATTATTCTTTGATCCAAGGGCACCAGAATGAATGTTGGGTTAGTAGGCATGAAAATAATATTCAGCTCTTTATACATCTCTGTAAAAGCCCTTGAGTCCAGGGACATTGTCAGTGAGTGGTAATACTTTGAAAGGAATCTTATTTCTTGAGCAGTAGGTGTCAACAGTGGGCTTAAGATATTCAGTAAACCATATTTGTAAACCGATAGTCTGTCATCCAGGCTTTGTTCCCATTTGTAGAGTATAGGCAGAGCTGTGTTTTATCATAATTCTTCAGGGCCCTTGGATTTTCAGAATAGTAAATCATCATTGGTTTCAAGTTAACATCACCAACTGCATTAGGCCTTAACAAAAGAGTCAGCGTGTCCTTTGAAGCCTTAAATCCAGGCATCAACTCCACTCTAGCTGGGAACATCCTGGATGGCATCTCCTTCTAGTAGAGGGCTGTTTTGTCTCCATTGCAAATCTGTTTAGTGTAGCCATCTTAATCAGTTACCTTCTAGATAGCTTTCTGCAGCTTTTCCATCAGTACTTGCTGCTTTATCTCGTGCTTTTATGTTATGGAGATGACTTTTTTCCTTAAACCTCAAGAAACAAGCTCTTCTAGCTTCAGACTTTTCTTCTGCAGCTGCCTCACCTAAGTCTTCATAGAATTGAAGAGAGGCCAGGTGCGGTGGCTGTCACACCTGTAATCCTAGCACTTTGGGAGGCCGAGGCAGGCAGATCACCTGAGGTCGGGAGTTCAACACCAGCCTGACCAACGTGGAGAAACCCCGTCTCTACTAAAAATACAAAAAATTAGCCAGGCGTGGTGGTGCATGCCTGTAATCCCAGCTACTCGGGATGCTGAGGCAGGAGAATGGCTTGAAATTGGGAGGCAGAGGTTGTGATGAGCCAAGATCACGCCATTGCACTCCAGCTTGGGCAAGAATAATGAAACTCTGTCTCAAAAACAAAGAAAAATAAGTAAAAAGAGAGTTAGGCTTGGGCTTAATGGAATGTTTTCTGTTTTTTTTTATCTTCTATCTAGACCAATTAAACTTTCTTCATAACAGCAGCATGATTGTTTAGCTTTTTATCATTCATGTGTTCACTGGAGTAGTACTTTAAATTTCTTTCCAGAACACTTCCTTTGCATTCACAACTTGGCTAAGTGTTTGTTGCATGAGTTCTAGCTACTGACCTGTCTTGCTTACAGCATGCCTTCCTCACTGAGCTTAATTATTTCTTCCTTTTGGTTTAAAGTGACAGACATGCAACTCTTCTTTCGCTTGAACATATAGAGGCTATTGTAGGGTTATTAATTGGCCACATTTTAATATTAATAAAAAGAAGCCTGAGAAAAAGTGAGAGAAAGAGAAATGTCCCATTGGTGGGGCAGTCAGAACAAACGCATTTGTCAATTGTTTGCTGTCTTATCCTGGTGTGATTTGTGGTTCCCAAAACAATGACAACAGTAGCATTAAGGATCACTCCTTACAGATCACCACAACAGATTCAATAATAAAAAGCTTAAAATACTGTGAGAATAACTGAAATGTGACACAGAGACGTGAAGTGAGCACGTGCTGTAGGAACAATTGTGCCAGTGAGACCTGCTTATTGCAGGGTGGCCACAAACCTTCAATATGTAAAACACATGGTCACAAAACACAATAAAGCAAAGTGCAGTGAAACAAGATGTGTCTGTCTTTTGATAGACTCTGACAATCTCTATCTTTGAATTGGTACATTCATACCATTAACATTCAAAGTGATTATTGATATCATTGGATTAATATCTACTATATTTGTTACTGTTTTCTATTCATTCTCCTCAGTCTTCATTCTTTTTTCTACCACTCTTTTTCTGCCTTTTGCAGTTTTCATTGATGATTTTAGATGACTCCATTTTCCCTGTCTTTCTTAGCACGTACTTCTCTTTTTAAAACTTTTTTTTTAACTAGTTGCCACAGAATTTGCAATATACATTTACAACAAATTCAAGTCCACTTTCAAATAACACTATCCCACTATCCCACAAATAAGACTACCTGCTTAACAAAACACCTAATTCCTCAGTAACATTTACAACCAATTCAAGTTCACTTTCAAATAACACTATCCCACTTAACGGGTGACTACCTGCTTAACAAAGAAAACACCTGATTCCTCCCTCCCATCCTTCCATTCCATTCCTTGTATTATTGTTCCTTATTTCACTTGTGTATAAGCATACATAATCTATTTGTGTGTATTTATTATTATCTACAAACTTATTGGTCAGATCAATTATGAATAAATACATGTTTTTATTGTACCACAATTCCTCCCTCCCATCCTTCCATTCCATTCCTTGTATTAGTGTTACTCATTTCACTTGTGTATAAGCATACATAATCTATCTGTGTGTATTTGTTATTGTCTATGAACTTCTTGGTCAGATCAATTAAGAATAAATACATAGGTTTTTATTGTACCACAATTATTTCTTTAATGCTCTTTTTAAAAAAATGTTGATCCAGGTTTCAGTTATATATCTTTTGTTTCCCTCTAAAGAATTTCATTTAACATTTCTTGCAAGACAGGTCTCCTGGCAACAAGTTTCTTGAATTTTTATTTTTCTGAGGAAGGCCTTAATTCTCCTTCACTTTTGAAGGGTGGTTTCAGTGGGTACAGAAACTTAGGTTGGTGGGTTTTTTTCTGTCAACATTTTGAATTTTTCATTTCACTGTCTTGCTTTCACAGTTTCTGCAATGTTGAATGCAGTTCTTATCTTTGTGTCTCTGTAGGTAAGGTGTTTTCTGCCCCACTCCTGGTTTCTTTCAGAGTTTTCCTTTATCTTTTATTTCATATAGTTTGAAAATTATATGTCCAAGTGTAGGTTGTTGGCATTTATTCTGCCTGGTGTTCTCAGAGCTTCCTGGATCTTTGGTTTGGTGTCTGACATTAACACTGGAAGTTCTCAGACATGGTTGTTGCAGAACTTTCTTCTATTTCTTCTCCTCCTGGTATTCTCATTACTCTGTTTCACCTTTTGTAGTTGTCCCACAGTCTTGGATATCATCTTCTGTTCTTTTCAGTGTTTCTTTTCTTTAGTTTTCGAAGTTTCTGATGATAAATCCTCAAGCTCAGAGATTCTTTACTCAGCTGAGTCCAGTCTACTAATAAGCCATCAGAGGTATTCTTCAGTTATTTACCACATTTTTTATCACTACATTATGTTGAAGGTTCTTACGATGTCTGTCTTTCTGATTACATTACCCATCTACACTTGAATGCTGTCTACTTCATTCGTTAGGTCCTTAGCATAGTCTCCAGAGGTGTAAAAAAAATTCCAAAATCATATCTTTGTCTGCTTCTGAAGCTTGCTCTGTTGACACAAATTGTAGTTTTTTCTTTTTTTGGATTTTAGTATGCCTTGCAATTTTTTCCCTTTATTCTCATGCATGAAGCACCCACTAAAAGTGACTGTTGTTAGTATAGCTTCAGTAATGCGGTGATGAGGTGACAGGGCAGGTGATGCTCTCTTAGTCTCTTTAGGCTACTATAACAAAATACTTTAGACTGAGTAATTCATAAACAACAGAGATTATTGCTCACAGAGCTGGAGGCTGGAAAGTTCAAGACTAAAGGGCCAGGATATTTGGTGTTTGGTGAAGGTCAAACATTCAGACACTCGCAATGACTATAGCGACAGCAGCAGTCTTCAGGAATCCTATGTGAGGGACAAACACTCAGAAGCCAGCTGGAGTGTTCTAGAATCCTATGTGAGGGACAAACATTCAGACCCCAGCAGTAGTGTTGTGGAATCCTATGTGAGGGACAAACTTTCAAAACCTTGTAGCAGTGTTCTGGAATCCTATATGAGGGACAAAAATTCAGAACCTCGTAGCAGTGTTCTGGAATCCTATGTGAGGGACAAACATTCAGAGCCCAGCAGCAGTGTTCTGGAATCCTATGTGAGGGACAAACATTCAGACCACAGCAGGAGTGCTCTGTAATCCTATGTGAGGGACAAACATTTCAAAACCTCATAGCAGTGTGCTGAAATGTTATGTCAGGGACAGACATTTAGACCCTTGCAGCAGTGTTCTAGAATCCCATCTGCGGGACAAACATTCAGACACTCGCAGCAGTGTTCTGGAATTCTATGTGAGGGACAGACATTCAAACCCCAACAGCAGTGTTCTAGAATCCTATGTGAGGGACAGACGTTCAGACCCCAGCAGCAGTGTTCTGGAATCCTATGTGAGGGGCAAACATTCAGACCCTCATAGCAGTGTTCTGGAATGCTATGTGAAGGGAAAACATTGAGACCCTCCTAACAGTGTTCTGGAATCCTATGTGAAGGACAGACATTTAGACCCTCGAAACAGTGTTCTGGAGTCTTAAGTGAGAGACAAACATTCAGACCCTCGTAGCAGTATTCTGGAATCCTTTTTGAGGGACAGACATTGAGAAACCAGCAGCAGTGGTCTGGAATCCTATTTTAGGGGCAAACATTCACACCCCAGCAACAGTGTTCTAGAATCCTATGTGAGGGGAAAACATTCAGACCACAGCAGCAGTGCTCAGGAATCCTATGTGAGGGACAAGCATTCAAACCACAGCAGGAGTGTTCTGGAATCCTATGTGAAGGACAAACTTTCAGACCACAGCAGGAGTGTTCTTAAATCCTATGTGAAGGAGAAACATTCAAACCCCAAGAGCACTGTTCTGAAATCCTATGATAAGGGCTAAAACTCAGACCCCAACATGAATGTTCTGGAATCCTATGTGAGGGACAAGCATTAAGACCATAGCAGGAGTATTCTGCAATCCTATGTGAGGGACAAACATTCAGACCCCAGAAGGAGTGTTCTGGAATCCTATATGAAGGACAAACATTCAGACCCTCGTAGCAGTGTTCTGGAATCCTATGTGAGGGACAAACTTTCAGACCACAGCAGGAGTGCTCGGGAATCCTATGTGAGGGACAAACATTCAGAACCTTGTAGCAGTGTTCTGGAATCCTATGTGAGGGACAAACATTCAGACCCTCCCGGCAGTCTTCTGGAATTCTATGTGAGGGACAGACATTCAAACCCCAGCAGCAGTGTTCTGGAATCCGATGTGAGGGACAGACATTCAGACCCCAGCAGCAGTCTTCTGGAATCCTATGTGAGGGGCAAACTTTCAGACCCTCGTAGCAGTATTCTGGAGTCCTATGTGAAGGACAGACATTTAGACCCTCGAAGCAGTGTTCTGCAGTCTTAAGTGAGGGACAAAAATTCAGACCATCGTAGCAGTGTTCTGGAATCCTTTTTGAGGGACAGATATTGAGACCCCAGTAGCAGTGGTCTGGAATCCTATGTGAGGGACAAACATTCACACCCCAGCAATAGTGTTCTGTAATCATATGTGAGGGACAAGCATTCAGACCCCAGCAGCAGTGTTCTGGAATCTTATGTGAGGGACAAACATTGAGACCCTCGTAGCAGTGTTCTTGAATCCTACGTGAGACACAAACATTCGTACCACAGCAGAAGTGTTCTGGAATCCTATGTGAGGGACAACCATTCAGACCACAGCAGGAGTGTTCTGGAATCCTATGTGAGGGACAAATATTCAGACCCTCATAGCAGTGTTCTGGAATCCTTTGGGAGGGACAAACTTTCAGACCCCAGCAGGAGGGTTCTGGAATCCTGTGTGAGGGACCAACATTCAGACCCTCGTAGCAGTGTTCTGGAATGTTATGTGAAAGGCAACCATTCAGACCCTCATAGCAATGTTCTGGAATCCTATGTCAGGGACATTCAGACCCCAGCCGCAGTGTTCTGGAATCCTATGTGACAGAGAAACATTCAGACCACAGCAGGAGCTTTCTGGAATCCTATGTGACGGACAAACTTTCAGGCCATAGCAGTAGTGTTCTGCAATCCAATGTGAGGGACAAACATTCAGAGCCCAGCAGCAGTGTTCAGGAATCCTATGTGAGGGACCAACAATCAGACCCTCGTAGCAGTGTTCTGAAATCCTATGTGAGGGACAAACATTCAGAACCCAGCCGCAGTGTTCTGGAAATCTATGTGACAAACATTCCGACCACAGCAGCAGTGTTCTGGAATCCTATGTGTGGTACAAACTTTCAGACCACAGCAGGAGAGTTCTGGAATCCTATGTGAGGGACAAACTTTCAGACCCCAGGAGCAGTGTTCTGAAATCCTATGTTCAGGGCAAGCATTTACATCCCAGTGTGAATGTTCTCGAATCCTAGGTAAGGGACAAACATTCAGACCACAGCAGGAGTGTTCTCGAATCCTATGTGAGGAACAAACATTTAGACCAAAGCAAGAGTGTTCTGGAATACTATGTGAGGGACAAACATTCAGACCCTCTTAGCAGTGTTCTGGAGTCCTATGTGAGGGACAAACATTCAGACCCTCTTAGCAGTGTTCTGGAATCCTATGTGAGGGACAAATATTCAGAACACAGCAGGAGTGCTCTGGAATCCTATGTGAGGGACAAACATTCAGAACCTCGTAGCAGTGTCCTGGAATCTTATGTGAGGGAGAGACATTTAGACCCTCGCAGCAGTGTTCTGGAATCCCATGTGAGGGGCAAACATTCAGACCACGGGAGCAGTGTTCTGGAATCCTATGTGAAGGACAAACATTAAGACTCTCGTAGCAGTGTCCTGGAATCATATGTGAGGGACAACCATTCAGACACCAGCAGAAGTGTTCTGGAATCGTAGGTGTGGGAAAAACATTCAGAACCTAGTAGCAGTGTTCTGGAATCCTATGTGAGGGACATATTCAGACCACGGCAGCAGTGTTCTAGAATGGTATGTGAAGGACAAACATTCAGACCCTTGTAGCAGTGTTCCAGAATTCTGTGTGAGGGACAAACATTCAGACCCCAAGAGCAGTGTTCTGAAATCCTATGTTAAGGGAAACATTGAGACCCCAGCATGAATGTTCTGGAATCCTATGTGAGGGACAAATATTCAGACCATGGCAGGAGTGTTCTGGAATCTTATGTGAGGAACAAACATTCAGACCACAGCAGGAGTGTTCTGGAATCCTATATGAGGGATAAGCATTCAGACCCTCGTAGCAGTGTTCTGGAATCCTATGTGAGGGAGAAGCATTCAGAGCACAGCAGGAGTGCTCTGGAATCCTATGTTAGGGACAAACATTCAGAACCTCATAACATTGTGCTGGAAACCTATGTGAGGGACAGACATTTAGACCCTAGCAGCAGTGTTCTGGAATCCCATGTGAGGGTCAAACATTCAGATCCTCGCAGCAGTGTTCTGGAATTCTATGTGAGTGACAAACATTCAGACTCCAGCAGCAGTATTCTGTATTCCTATGTGAAGGACAAACATTCAGAATCCAGGAGCAGTGTTTTGAAATCATATGTTAAGGGCAAACATACAGACCCTAGCATCAATGTTCTAGAATCATATGTGAGGGACATACATTCAGACTCTCGCAGCAGTGTTCTGGAATCCTATGTGGGGGACAAACATTCAGACAATGGCAGCAGTGTTCTGGAATCCTATGTGAGGGACAAACACTCAGATCCTTGTAGCAGTGTTCTGGAATCCTATGTGAGTGAGAGTGCCTGGAGCCTACCCAACCTGACGCCCCCAAAGCCCTCACAGGGTCTGACCTCCCAGCATGCACCTGCCTCTCTCTGAACCCCAACTGCCCACCCTGCCTGTTCCCTGGCCTCCTCCATCCTGTGCAGCCCACAGACTGTGACCATCTCTCCAGCCACTCTGGTCTTTCCTTTACCTTTGTCCTGTCAGAATCTCTGAGCAGGATCTCCCAAGTCCATCCAAACACGTGCTTTGTCCACTTTTGACTAGGCCCTTGGGCATCACTGGGCTATCCCAGCTGTCCACAGGGCCTTCAATAATGCACATTGCACCTGGCTTATCCAAGCAGTGCTCAGCAGCCCACATTGACCAGGTCCCTGCTGACCAGACCCCGCACATCAGGTCCTCCCTGATGACACCCTCACTGATTAGACCCTCATGACCAGGCCCCACTAACAAGGCCCCCACTGCCAGGCACACAATGACAAGGACTCCACTGACCAGGACCTTACTGACAAGGCCTCACTGACAAGGCCTCACGGACCAAGTCCTTACTGACAAGTCCTCACTGACTAGGTGATTATTGATAAGGCCTCACTGATCAGGTTCCACTGATCATGACCTCATTCCCTGGCCCCAAAGATGAGGCCCCACTGACCAGGCCTCCAGGGAACAGGTTGTCACTGATCAGGTCCCTAATAACCAGGCCTAAGGTCACCAGATGCCCCTGACTGGGACCCTAGTGAGTAGACCCCACTGAACCAGCACCAAATGCTGAGATCCCTGCTGACCAGGTCACCCTGTAGACCAGTGCTACAAAAGTCACCACTGACCAAGTCCTCTCTGACCAGGACGATATGGATTAGGTCCCACTGACAAGGGCCTCACTGATGAGGACACACCCACCAGGGTCTGCTGACTAGGTCCCATGTGCCCAGTCCTCCACTGAATAGCACCCCTTGACCTGGTCACCAGTGCCCCAGCCCATGCTGACCAGACCAGCACTGAGCCCCAGCTGACCAGGTCTCCACTGATCAAGCCCCACAGCCCAGGTTTGCACTGACCAGACACCAAACAACTGGCAGCCAATAGGTCCCCACTCAGCAAAACCCCCACTACTAGACCCCACTAATGAGACCCTCTCTAAGCAGACCTCTGCTGACCACGATCCCACTAAATAGTCCTCACTGACCTAGGTCCACTGACCAGGCCCACACTGATCAGGCCCCTCCTAACCACACCGGAAATCCAAGGGGCAATGACAAGTTTCATATGGCAAAAGTTGGAACAAGACAGAGAGAGGAAAGAGGTTCCACAGCCTTTTAAACTACTAGATCTCATGAGAACTCACTCACTATCAGGAGGATGGCATTAACGGCTTGGTGCTTTGCCATTTGTGAAGGATCCACTCCCACCCCTTTATGATTAAAGCTTTTTCCACCTAGGCCCCGACTCTAACATTAGGGAGTGTACTTTCACATGAGTTTTGGAAGGGGCATAGAGAAAAACCGTATTATTCTGTCCCTGACCCCACAAATCTCATGTCCTTCTCACACTGCAAAATACAGTCATGCCTTGCCAGCAGTCTCACAAAGTCTTAACTCATTTCAGCATTAACTCATAGTTACAAAGTCCAAAGTCTCATCTGGGTCAAGGCTACATTCTCTTTTGCCTACGAGTCTCTGAAATAAAAAGCAAGTTCACTGCGTCTAAGGTACAATGATGGTACAGGCATTTTGTAAGCTTTCCATATCCAAAAGGGAGACATTTTCCAGAAAGCTTCTTATTTTTATCTGAGGCCCCCTCAGCCTGGCCTTCACTGTCCATGTTTTTGTCAGCATTCTTGTCACAGCCATTTAACCAGTCTCTAAGATGGTCCAAAAATGCTCTCATCTATCTGTCTTCTTTGGAGCCCTCCAAACTCTTCCAACCTCTACCCATTACAGAGTTCCGAAGTTGCTTCCACATTTTCAGGTATCTTTATAGCAATGCTGCAGTCCTCATTTGCCATTTTTGGTAAGATTTATTTTGAAAAAGAGGTTTAATTGGCTCATGGTTCTGCAGAGTGGACAGGCAGCTTAGTGCTTCTGCTTCTGGGGGGCCTCAGAAATCTTTCAATCATTGTGCAAGGTAATGAAAGAGTGAATTGTCTCACATGGCAAGAGGAAATCACGGAGAGTAGGGAGTGATATAGAGTTTTCAGTGGCCAGATCTCACGAGAATTCACTCATGATTGTGAGGACAGTACCAAGGGGATGGTGCTGAACCACTCATGAGAAATTCGCCTTCATGATTCAATCACCTTATACGAGGATCCACCTCCAACATTAGGAAGCATAACTCAACATGAGATTTGGTGGGGACACATATTCGAATTGCCTCATCAGTCTTTGAGTATAAAGACATGCATAGCAGGCTTTATCCAGCCAACTTCTTTGGGATTCTTTATAGGGTTTCAGGTCTATAGCATATCCACTAAAATATCCCTACTTCAAAAGGCAATAAAGTAAGTGGTATTATCATTCTTCAAAAAGTTATAATGGTAGTGTAGGCATTCATAGTATGATTTAGTTCATTTGCCACTCTTTCTATTCTATCACCATATTAACACTTTCCTACACAATTCTATATTCAGCTGGGTTTCAGTTGAGCACAAAGTCATCCTTGTACTACCACCGATAGCTGGCACTAGCTCTTTGATACTGTTATCATTCTGCTGTAGAAAGTACCCGTGAACTGGAAAAAGTCCACAATCGAATAGCTAGTCATTCAACACTATCAAATTTTAGGTGACTTTTTGAAAAAATAGTATCTCTTGTTGCAAGAAATGCTCCATCTGTGATTTCAAGTCTCTCACTCGAGTGAATTGGATGGAAGTGGTGAATTTCAGCCAAAGTGGCCAAAGAAATCCTGTTCCTGTGATAATGACGCCATCAGCCTCTGCACCTCTGTCTTCCCTTCTGCCACATGTTGCCTGTTCTCCGTGACTTTGGTAAGAGCTTCCTTGTGTATGAGGATGATGTCCAGGATGTTGGTCTGGTGTCCCTGAGACAGCACTAACAGGTCCATGGCTGGGTCCAGGTCCTTCCTGGACTGATTGGCAAGGAGCTTACTGATGTTCTTGAAGGCATCTCTGGTGAAGTGGATGGCCTAGTCAAGTTCCAAGGCCTGGCTGAGGCTGAAGAAAAACTGGCCATGTTCTGATGCTCTTTCTAAAAGCCTGTCACTGTCATCTGCTTGCTTGTCAACTCATTGGCTGTGAGGTTGAGCTGAGTGGCCTGTGTCCATCTTCTTGGGGAAGCATTTGAAGCCATCAGTCTTGCTCTCCCACCCCTAAAGGTTGATGGTCACCACCTGGGGTTGTACTGAGGGTCAGAAAGAAGCCGGCACTCACTATCTCATCCTTCTCAGCCTTCCTCTTGCACTCTCTCCAGGCTGTCTCTTCAGTTCCGGTGGGATACATCAGAAAGTGATGGAAGATGTGGCACTGTGCCCACACCCAGAAGCTGGCCATGTGGTTGGCTCATCCACCAGAATGGATGCTCTGGGTGCTCTTTGAGCCAGCTTGGCCTTGCCTGGCATGCACAGGCCCCAGGTACCGACATGTTGCTCCGAGTGAGCTTGTCCTGCTTTGGGCCAAATTCTGTCAGGCCAGGGCCACAAAAGGCCGAGTCCCACGGGTGGTAATCCTGGCTGCTTTCTGCACTTCCACATAAAGACCTCCTGAAGATGGCCTGTGGTCTACCTCTTTGCAACCAAGAAGCCCGCAGTGCCATATGAACCCTCAGGCATGGACTGGAGCCCCCAAGGAAGGACACACCCTGCTCCTGAGTCTGCTGCTCATTTTCTCTGTGTGGCTCCATTTGTGTCACAGTTGTTGCACAGACTTGAGCATGCCGGGCAAGGCCAAGCTGGCTCAAAAAGCAACTGGCCACCTCTGCAAGGTTGTGCCAGGAGCCGGTGGACCGGCCACCAACGTCACTCGCTGCTGGTAAGGTTACATCAGTTCTTCTACCCTAGAGGTAGGGCCCCAGTGCCATATGCTTTTCCTCAGGCCTCTGCTCTATCAGTCATAGGCGGCAACCACACAGGCTGTGGGAACATGGCCATCCCTCCTTCCTTGAGTAGCTGAGGTTGCTGGCTTGTCTTCCTGCTACAGGCACAGCCTTGCAGAGGTGGCTAGTTGCTCTGAGCCAGCTTGGCCTTGTCTGACATGCATAGGCCCCAGGTACTGACACTCTGCTCCGAGTCAGCTTGTCCTGCCTTGGGTCAAATTCTAAATCTGGCCAGGGCCACAGAAGGCCCAGTCCCTTGGGTGCTAATCTTGGCTGCTTTCTGCACTTGAACATAAAGTCCTCCTCAAGACAGCCTGTGTTCTGCCTCTTGGCGACCAAGAAGCCTACAGTGCCATACGAGCCCTGAGGCATGGACTGGAGCCACAAAGGCAGTGCACGCCCCGTTCCTGAGCCTGCTGATCATTTCCTCTATATGGCTCCATTTGTAGCACACTTGTTGCTGTGAGGCTTGTGCATGCCAGGCAAGGCCAAGCTGGCTCAAAGAGCAAGCAGCCACCTCTGCAAGGGTGTGCCAGGAGCAGATGGTCCAGCCGCCAACCTCACTCACTGCCAGACGTGGTACATCAGTTCTTCTACCCTAAAGGTGGGGCCAAGAGGCAGACCACAGGCCGTCTTGAGGAGGACTTTATGTTCAAGTGCAGAAAGCAGGCAGGATTACCACCCTGGGTACTCGCCCTTCTGTGGCCCGCAGTGACATATGAGCCCTGAGGCATGGACTGGTGCCGTCTGCTTCATACAAAAATTAACTTAAGATGGATTAAAGAGTTAAATATGCCACCTGCTTTTCCTCAGGCCTCTGCTCCATCAGGCATCAGGTGGCAGCTACTCATGCTGTTGGAACCTGGCCATCCGGGCTTCCTTGAGCGGGTGAGGTTGCTGGCTTGTCCGCCTGCTACAGGCACAGCCTTGCAGAGGTGGCTGGTTGCTCTGAGCCAGCTTGGCCTTGCCTGGCATGCATAGGCCCCAGGTACTGACACTCTGCTCCGAACCAGCTTGTCCTGCCTTGGGCCAAATTCTAAGTCTGGAGAGGACCACAGAAGGCAGAGTCCCCTGGATGGTAATCCTGACTACTTTCTGCACTTGAACATAAAGTCCTCCTCAAGACAGCCTGTGGTCTGCAGCTAGGCAACCAAGAAACCCGCAGTGCCATAGGAGCCCTGAGGCATCGACTGGAGCCCCAAAGGCAGGGCACACCCTGCTTCTGAGCCTGCTGCTCGTTTCGGCTATGTGGCTCCATTTGTTGCACAGTTATTACACTGAGGCTTGGGCATGCTGGGCAAACTCCAAGCCACTTAGAATTTGGTCCAAGGCAGAACAAGTTCACTGGGAGCAGCGTGTCGGTACCTGGGGCCTGTGCATGCCAGGCAAGGCCAAGCTGCCTTAAAGAGCAAACAGCCTCCTCTGCAAGGGTGTGCCAGGAGCCGGTGGACCCACCACCAACCTCACTCACTACCGGTCAGGGTACATCAGTTCTTCTACCCTAGAGGTAGGGCCCAACTGCCATCTGCTTTTCCTCAGGCCTCTGCTTGATCAGCCATCAGGCGGTGGCCACTCATGCTGTGGGAACCTGGCCATCCCTGCTTCCTTGTGTAGCTGAAGTTGCTGGCTGCTCCACCTCATCCAGGAGCACCCTTGCAGTGGTGGCTGGTTGCTCTTTGAGCCAGCTTAGCCTTGCCTAGCATGTACAGGCCCCAGCTACTGACACACTACTCCGAGTGAGCTGGTCCTGCTTTGAGCCAAATTCTAAGTCTGGCCGGGGCCACAGAAGGCCGAGTCCCCTGGGTGGTAAACCTGGCTGCTTTCTGCCCTTGAACATAAAGTCCTCCTCGGCTGGTCTATGGTCTACCTCTTGGCAACCAAGAATCCTGCAGTCCCATACAAGCCCTGAGGCATGGACTGGAGCCCCAAAGGCAGTGCACACCCTGCTTCTGAGCTTGCTGCTCATTTCCTCTGTGTGGCTCCATTTTTAGCAAAGTTGTTGCATTGAGGCTTGTGTATGCCGGGCAAGGCCAAGCTGGCTCAAAAAGCAACCAGCCGCGTTTGCAAGGGTGTGCCTGAAGTGGTTGGATTAGCCATCAACTTTGCCCACTCAAGGAAGCAGGGAATGCTTGTTTGTACCATGCATTTCACTACAGGTCATTTCCCCTGAGGTTGGTGGCCTAGGTTTTCTTCTAGATTTTTTATGGTTTTAGGTCTTACTTCTAACTCTTTCATCCATCTTACTTAATTTTTGTTTAAGGTGTATGGTTGTGGCCCAGTTTCAGTTTTCTGCATTTGGCTAGCCAGTTTTCCCAACACCATTTATTAAATAGGGTATCCTTTCCCATTGCTTGTTTTTGTCAGGTTTGTCAAAGATCAGATGCTTTTAGATGTGTGGTGTCATTTCTGAGGGCTCTGTTCTGTTCCATTGGTCTATAGATCTGATTTGTTACCAGCCCCATGCTGTTTTGGTTGCTGTAGCCTTGTAGAATAATTTGAAGTCAGGTACTGTGATGCCTCTAGCTTTGCTGTTTTTGCTTAGGATTGTCTTGGCCATGTGGGCTCTTTTTTGGTTCCATATGAAATTTAAAGTAGTTTTTCTAATTCTGTGAAGAAAGTAATGGTAACTTGATGGGGACAGCAATGAGTCTATAAATTACTTTGGGTGGTATAGCAGTCAGGCACAGAAATGTCCTTGTGTTAGGCAATACCATTCAGGACATAGCCATGGGCAGAGTCTTCATCACTAGAACACCAAAAGCAATGGCTACAAAAACCAAAATTTACAAATGGGATCTAACTAAACTTAAGAGTATCTGCAGCGCAAAAGAAACTATTATCAGAGTGAACAGGCAACCCACAGAATGGGAGAACAATGTTGCAATCTATCCATCTGACAAAGGGCTAATATGCAGAATCTACAAAGAACAAATTTACAAGAAAAAAAAACCATCAAAAAGTGAGCAAAGGGTATGAACAGACACTTACCAAAGAAGACATTTATACAGCCAACGAACATGTGAAGCAAAGCACATCATCACTGGTCATTAGAGAAATGGAAATCAAAACCACAATGAGATACAATCTCAGACCACTTAGAATGGTCATCGTTAAAAAATCAGGAAAGAACAGATGCTAGAGAGGACGTGGAGAAATAGGAAAGCTTTTACACAGTTGGTGGGAATATAAATTACTTCAACCATTGTGGAAGACAGTGTGACAATTCCTCAAGGATCTACAACCAGAAATATCATTTGACCCAGCAATCCCATTACTGGGTATATACGCCCAAAATTATAAATCATACTAATATAAAGACACATGCACCTGTCTGTTTATTGCGGCACTGTTCACAACAGCAAAGACTTGGAACCAACCCAAATGCCCACCAATGATAGACTGGATAAAGAAAATGTGGCATATATACACCACGAAATACTATGCAGCCATAAAAAGGGATGAATTCACGTCATTTGCTGGGACATGAATGAAGCTGGAAACCATCATTTTCAGCTAACTAACAGAAGAACAGAAAACCAAACACCACATGTTCTCACTCATAACTGGGAGTTGAACAATGGGAACACATGGACACAGGAAGGGGAACATCACACACTAGGGCCTGTCAGGGTGGGGGGCTAGGAGAGGGATGGCATTAGGAGAAATAACTAATGTAGATCGTGGGTTGATGGATGCAGCAAGCCACCATGGCATGTGTATACCTATGTAACCTGCATGTTCTGCACATGTACCCCAGAACTTTTAAAAAAAAAGAAATTTGCTTTTAATTAAGCTTTTAATCATAGAACTTGTGAAGAAAATCCTTTTGAATCTTTTATTACCACATCATAGCTGGGACAAACTGCTGACGCTTTAAAAGTAACACAAATATCAAACAGAAAGAACTAGACTTAGGAACCAAACTCAGGTTTCTGTAGTGAACAGGGCAGAATCTTCACATTGGGTCACCACCACTACTCCTTCAGTTTAGCCTTGGCTAGCAAAAGGGTGGCCTTGTTATGTAGATGAGACCACTTATGTAAAAAAAAAAAAGTTTTAAAAAATAATTTCTGCTAACTGGAATGTTTTTTTTTGTTGTTTATTTGTTTGTTTGTTTGTTTGCAGCCATAGGAGTTTTAGCCAATTCAGAGGGCTTGCTCCCCACAATTTGGAAAATTCCTTTGGATTTGACCAAGTCAGGAAGAGAAGGGAGAAAAGTGAAACAACAACAATAAAGCCCCAAGCATAAACAAACAAAAAGAGTTAAGCAAAACAACAAATGCACAATTCATATGATTACTGAGTGTTCTAATGGTAAGGAGAAACTAAAAGCAGAAATTAAAAGCAGCTGGTGAGTAATCTTAAATTTTAGTCATTAAGGAAAAATTTTAAGACAAAACTCTAATTCAGCTACTTACCTGGAAACAAGGCTCAGGCTGGTGATCGTTCTCTGCCATGTTAGAAGCTGAAAACAACTTACACTCACCTTCCCTGTCAGAAGCAAGCTGAAACTCAGGAAAGGAGGTGCCTGCTCTCCATCACCACAGAAGCAGGAAAACTTGCCTTCCTTGTTGGAAATGAGTAAAACTTCAGAAAAGGAGTTGTACAGAAAAATCAAACTTAGATCTAAACCAGATTTTGGGAGATCAGGGACTCTTTGCAGGGGAGAAGCTCCACAACCTCAGCAAATTATCCTGTTGGTTTGGGCAATAAAGATAGCCTAGGTTGGTATCAATCAATAATGAGATTTATCAAAGGTCAGGACCACCTTTGTAATGACCTTCTCTGTCTTTTTTTATCTTTATTGGTATATACGTTTTGTCGAAACTGGGAGTGTAACACCTGATTTCTTCTGTTTTCCATTTGCTTGAAAGATTTTTCACCATTCCTTCATTTTGAGCCTATGTATGGCACTGCATGTGAGATGGGTTTCTTGGAGACAGCATACTCAAATGGGTCTTGGTTCTTTATCCAGCTTGCCCCCCTGTGTCTTTCAATCAGAGCATTTAGCCCATTTCCATTTAAGGTTAGTAATGGTATGTGTGGATTAGATCCTGTCGTCATGCTGTCAGCTAGTTATTTTGCAGACTTGTGTATGTGGTTGGTTTTTTAGCATTACTGGTCTGTGTACTTCGGTGCATTTTTGTAGTGGCTGGTGATGGTCTTTTCTTTCCATATTTAGTGCTTCATTCAGGAGCTCTTGTAAGGTAGATCTGGTGATAATGAATTCTCTCAGCATTTGCTTGTCTGAAAAGGATCTTGTTTCTCCTTCACTTATGATGCTTAATTTTGCTGGACATGAAATTCTGGGTTGAAATTTCTTTTTCTTTTAACCATTTATAATAACACCATGTTATTATATGGTACATCTGTCTCTGCCATACTACGTGAAATTTCTTTTCTTTAAGAAGTTGAATATCTTTTCTGGCTTGTAGGGTTTCAGCTGAGAAGTCTGCTAAGTCTGATGGAATTCCCTTTGCAGGTGACGTTGCCTTTCTCTCTAGCTGCCTTTAACATTGTTTCTTTCATTTTGACCTTGGAGAATCTGATGAGTATATGTCTTGGGGATGATCTTCTCGTGGCTTATCTTACTGAGGTTCTCTGGATTTCCTGAATTGGAATGTTGGCCTGTCTGGATAGGTTGGGGATAATCTCATGAATGATATTCTGAAGTATGTTTTCCAAGTTGGTTCCATTCTCCTCATCTCTTTAACGTACACTAATCAGTCATAGATTTGGTCGTTTATATAATCTCATATTTCTTGAATGTTTTGTTCATTCATTTTCCTTCTTTTTTCCCCCATTCTTGTCTGCCTGTTTTATTTCAGAAAGCCAGTTTTCAAGCTCTGGGATTCTTTCCTCTGCTTGGTCTATTCTGCTGGGTGGTCTTGCACATGAGATGGAGCTGGTTTGACCTCAGCCCTCCTTAGTCTGCTTGCCTCTCCCAGGACCCCAGCCTGGCCACACCTGCTTACAGGGCAATCTCAGGTGCCCACACACACTACAATAATTTTTATAATGCAATCACACATAATCACTATGTGACTGCATTATGAAAATTCTTGTAGTGTGCTTTTCAGCTCTATTAGGTCGGTTGTGTCTTCTTTGTACTTGCTATTTTGTCTGTTAGCTCCTACAATGTGTTACAATGATTTTTAGCTCACTTGTATTGCATGACAACATACGTCTTTCACTCAGTGAACTTTGTTCCTGCGCATATCCTGAACCCAGCTTGTATCATTCCAGACATCTCAGCCTCAGCTCAGTTCTGAACACTTGCTGGAGAGTTGATACAGTCATTTGGAGGAAAGAAAACATGCTGACTTTTGGAGTTTTCAGTGTTCTCGCACAGATTCTTTCTCATCTTTATGGGCTTATCCACCTTCCATCTTTGAGGCTGCTGACCTTCGGACAGCGTATTTTTGTTTTATTGTATTTGATGATCTTGAGGGTTTCATTGTGGGATAAGGTGGATTCAACCAACTGGCTTTGTTTTTGGAGGATTTTAGGGGGGCCAATGTGCAGCTTCCAATTCCTGGACTGTGTGCTTTAACTCTGGGGAACTTGTCTTGGGTCCCAACTTTGTTCTCTGGCTCTTGGAGGTTTGGAGTCCACTGCACTGAGGGGACCAAAGTGTGGCAAATGTGGCAGAATGCTAGTGGATGCAAAAGTCCCTGCCTCCCTGCGGGCGTTCACCCAGTGGTGGAGGCAAGACAGCTGGGGTGTGGGCCAGGGGTCCCCTGCTGTGTGTGTGTTGCACTGGAGGTAGTGTTGGTTCAGGGTGGGCTGCTGGCCAGTGCAGGCCATGGTGCCTTCTCTGTGCCCCTCAAAGCAACAGTGGTCACTCAGGGTATAAGAAGGTCCCTTTTTCTCTGCACAGCATTTGCTCAAGGGTTAGGTGCTGGCAGGGGTGGGGTTCTTGGTTCTGTGCCCACCAAGGCTCTGTCTTCAATGGCAGTTGGTGTGGGTTGGGGTGTGTCCTGCACTCCCCTGTGCTGTCAGGGCAAGTACAGCAAAACCCACATGTGGAAACACATACAGCAAAGTGATGTAGGAAGTTTCCATATAAAGGGCTGCAGTATGGAGAGGTAATGTGCAGGCTGGTGCGTGGCTGTTGGGGCCACCTTGCTGCAGCTCTCCACTGATCAGGTACAGTCCACTAGCACGGAAGCTATGCTGTGGGCATCCGAGAGTGCCCTGTATGCAGATGTGGCCAGGCTGGGGTCCTGGGAGAGGCAAGAAGACAAAGGAGTGCTGATATCAGACCAGCCCTATCTCATGTGCAAGGCTGCCCAGCAGAGATCAGGTCTCAGAGGAGAACTCTCTCAAAAGTGAACCCCCGGCACAGCATAGATGCTTTACACAAACATGGTCAGGCTTCTTTTTTAAGCAAGTCCCCTTTTTGAGGAGGGGAACTCTGGGACCTGATCTCTGCTGGGCAATCCTGAACATGAGATGGGGCTGATCTGAACTTAGCATTCCTAAAGTGCTGGGATAAAGTGTCTCACAAGGGCACGTGGAGCCTAGAGAGATAGCTGTCCCTGCCCTCTGGGCTCCACATCACCTGACTTGCTGCTCCACCACTCTGCTTGTCTCCTGGGTGCTCCATCCCATAGAGATGTGAGTTAGCAATCACTTAGCGTAATCAGCCCAGGATGGAGGGTCTGTGTTCTGAGGTCAAGCCAGTGTTCCCTCTCTGGTGATGAGCAGTGGGGGGTGTGTGGTACCCGTGGGAGATGGACTGGCTTGTTCATTGGGTCAACCGCAGCTTATTGGAGGTGTCAATATGGCACTTAGGGTCTTTGCTCCCTTGATATTCTGAGGGTAGCAAGGGCAGTTTCACTGCGGAGGCAATGGCAGAGAGAATTTCGTTTGCTCCTGGAAGCTCTGTCCAGGGAATTGCTGAGTTGCTACTGGCTGGATAGCTCCGATGGTGGACTGGCTGGAGACCCAGGTCAGTAGGACCTGCCCATCAAGTAGACTGTCTGGCCACTTTTCTGTCAGGCTGCTGTGGTATGCTGGGGGTCCCTTCCAGTCCCTAACTGCCTTGTATTTTCCAGGGAAGATGATAGCCTGCCCCTTCCTCTGGGAGCTCTGTGCCACTGAGGTACGAACTTGTTGCCAGTATGAACGCACCTATAAGATGTGACTGGAGACAAGTTGAGAAGTCTTATCTAGTCAGGAGGAACAAAAACAGGCACTGAGTTAAAGAAAAAAAAGTCTGGGCACGTTTTTCTAGAGCAGCTGTGCTATGCCGGGTGTTCACTTCCACTCCTGGTTGCCTCAGACACTCTGAAGCCCTAATGCTGAAATGGCTGAGTTGCCCCAACAGCAAAGACAACAGTCTGGTCCTCCCCCTGGGAGCTCTGACTCAGGGAGGCCTGAAACCTCTGTCGGCCAGAGAACAGCAGTGAAGGCAGCTGGAGACCTTGGTTGAAAGGCTTCACCTGCTGATTAGAAATGTGGTCGGGGACTGACTTAAACAAGAGTCTGGCCACGTTTTTGTAGTGTGGCCGTGCTGCGCTGAGGTTCCTCTTCCACCCCTTGTCAACTTGGGCTTTCCAAAGCCCACAAACCAGAACGGCTAGTCACCCAAACAGAAAAGGTGGTGGCCTGCCCCTCTCTCTGGGAGCTCTGTCCCATGAACACTTCAAATTTCTATTGGCCAAGGAATGCTGGTGGCGGTAGCTGGAGGCCCCATTTGGGAGGTCCTGTACAGTGATGTGCAACAGGGTCGGGGGCCTGCTTACAGAAGCATTCTGGCCATGATTTGGTAAAGCAGCTATGCTGTGCTGTGGGATCTCTTCTGCCCCTTGTCGGTTTATACTCTCCAAAGCCCTCAGGCTGGAATGACTAAGTTGCCTGAACAGGAAAGATGGCGGCCTGCCCCATCTATTCTCTCAGAGTTCATCTTGTTTGATGGAGTTTAATTTTTAGCCTGTTAATTTTACTGTCTACATTAGACTTGTTCGGAAAGAATCTGCTATATTTTAGGTTAGATATATGAGAATTCATTGTTTACTGTAAATAAACCTGTTCATGTCTTGTTCTCTGGAAAGAAATCTCTTTCAACTATCTGACGTTGGTCACAGTCATGTAGAGCAGTAGCCAGTCTATAATGACATAATTGAATTTCCATTTCCAGTGTTTTGTTTTTGTGTCTTACATTGTACAGTTCAGAAATGAGCATTTTATTCCCAATTGTCAAAATGCTAAGCTGTCCACTGTACTGAAATACTGTTTTTGTTAATGCTTCGTCATTCAATTTTTTTTAAGGTGAACACTTTTATCCAACTTTTCTCAAGTCAGAGTACAGGTAAGCCCTGGCTGCCTCGAGCCACTCTCAGGGAGACCAAAAACCTTCATACATTCCAAGTTGGGATACAAAAAAGTGGGGCCATGAAGGCTAGTCATTCAAAATAAAACAAAATTTAAAAGTATTAAGGCAAAGATTTAAAAAAATTTGCATTACATAATTTACACAAAAGCAATGCTATCGCCTACAATGTGTGAACTCGGGAGAGGACTGGGCCATTCTCCTTAGAGAGAAGTAGGGTGGCTTTTAGGAGGGCAAGGGGCTTCCTGAAACAGTGCATCTCACAATATTTGGAATGACTATTGAAAAGAAGAACATTGTACAATCAAAGTCCTTGGCAACATTGTAGAACTAGCGGGTGCTGACCCCTGAGCCACAACCACAGTTCTGGGTTTGGGGTTTGGTAAAACCACCCCAAGGACAGAGTTCTGGGGCCAGGTTTTGGAGGAACCAAGGCGCCTCTCAGGGATGGTGTGTCACTCCTGCTTGCCATGAAATGTGCACACAGGTTGTCCCCCTGCCCATCCCATCCTGCTGGACAGAATGGAGGAACTGAGGGAACAGGCAGGGTGGACAGCTGGAATTCAGGGAGAGGCAGGTGCATGCTGGGAGGTCAGGACCTGTGAGGGCTGTGGGGGCATCAGGTGGAGTGGGCTCCAGGTGCACCCTCAGTGCACAGGGCAGGTCTCAGGCCAGGCTCCCTGGACCCCGGCTGGGTGATGTGGTCACTCCCTGGGGGACTGCTGTCAGACCCTGGCCACCCTCCCTGGGCAGCGCCGTCCCATCCCAGAACTGGACTTTCTGAGTCCTAAAACAGGACAGTGCTGCCCAGGCCTGACAGACTGGGAGGACCTGTGAAGTCCTCCATCCCTAGACCAGCCTCCCAACAGCAGGGACAGTCTCCTACCTTTACCTTCAGGGCACTGACTGATACATCTCATTCTAAGGCAACCAAGGCAGACCTGAGGACCTGTGCCAGGCTGGGAGCCAGTCCTCTCCCTAAATGGGCCTTAGGGAAGCCTCATGCCTGTCCCAATGCACTGCAAGTTTCAGCCCAGGAGACACATAGGGAAGTGAGGACGGGGCCTCCCCACTGGCTGACCCTGGAAAAGCGGGACCAGAGAGAAGAGGGAGTGCAGGGCTGGCAGGGGATGCTCCAGGCCCATGGAGAGCTCAGGCTGCACCAAGGGGCTTCCCCTCCTGGGCTGGAGGCTGTGCCCTCTGCAGTATCTGAGGAAGTCCAGTCCTGAGATGGGACAGTGCTACCCAGAGTGGGTGGCCAGCACCTGACAACAGTCTCCCAGCAAGTGACCACATCACCCGGCCAAGGTCCAGGGAGCCTGGGCCAAGACCTGCCCAGTGCGCTGAGGGTGCACCTGGAGCCCACACCACCTGACGCCCCCACAACCCTCATAGGGTCTGACCTCCCAGCATGCACCTGCCTCTCCCTGAAACCAAGCTGCCCACCCTGCCTGTTCCCTGGCCTCCTCCATCCTGTGCAGACCATAGACTGTGACTATCTGTCCCACCACTCTGGCCCTTCCTTTACCTTTGTCCTGTCAGAATCTCTGAGCAAGATCTCCCAGGTCCATCCAAACACCTGCTTTGTCCACTTTTGACTGGGCCATTGAACATCACTGGGCCACCCCAGCTGTCCACAGGTTCCTCGATAACATGCATTTCCCCTGACATCTCCCAGCAGTACTCAGCAGCCCCCACTGACCAGGTCCCTGGTGACCAGTTCCAGCATATCACTTCCTCCCTGACCACACCCTCACTGATTAGAGCCCCATCACCAGGCCTCACTAACTAGATTCCCGCTGCCAGGCCCACAATGACCAGGACTCCACTGATGAGGACCTTACTGACAAGGCCTCACTGGCAAGGCCTCACTGACGAGGTCCTTACTGACAAGGCCTCACTGATCAGGTTCCACCGATCATGACCCCATTGTCTGGTCCCACAGACGAAGCCCCACTGACCAGGCCTGCAGGGAATAGGCAGCCAGTGACCAGGCCCCTGCTAACCAGGACTGAGGTGACAAGATGCCCCTGACTGGGACCCTAATGACTACGCCCCACTGAACAGGCACGCACTGCTCAGATCCCCGCTGACCAGGTCACCCCGTAGACCAGTGCTACAAAAGCCACCAATGATCAAGTCCTCTCTGACCAGGCCCCCACTGATTAAGTTCCACGGACCAGCCTGCCCTGACCAGGGCCCCACTGACAAGTGTCTCTGCTGACTAGGTCCCAAGGTCTCCACTGACCAAGTCCCACAGCCCAGGTTGGCACTGACCAGACACCAAACATTTGTCTACCACTATCAACCCACTCAACAAGACATGCACTACTAGATCCCTCTAATGAGACCCGCTCTAAGCAGACCCCTGCTGACCACCCCCCACTAAATAGGCCTCACTGACAAGTCCCAACTGACTAGGTCCCCTGAGCAGGCCCACACTGATCAGGCCCCTCCTAACCATATCAGAAGACCAAGAGGCAATGAGATGTTTCATATGGCAGGAGTAGGAGCAAGACAGAGAGGGGAAAGAGGTGTGACATCCTGTTAGACAACCAGATCACATGAGAACTCACTATCAGGAGATCAGCATCAAGAAGACTAACCAATGGTGAAGGATTCTCCAACCACACCACTGGCCACTGCTTCCAGGCAGAAGCCTCCTGCAGAGGCAGAACCTCTTATGAAACTTCCACTATGGCAGTGCAGAAGGAAAATATAGGCTTTGAGCCCCCACACAAGAGGCCATGATCCTCCAGACTCCAGATTAATAAGTCCACCAACAGCTCACACTCTGAGTATGGAAAAGCTACAGGCACTCAACACCAACCCAGCCCATGAGAGCAGCCATGAGGGCTACACCCTGCAAAGCCACAGGTGCACTCTCCTAGTAGAGGTTTCCCATGAGCCTCTGCCTCTGCAGCAGGTTGCTCCCACCCTCCCACCACCCTACTAACAACCTACTCCTCCCCACACTATCCCTCCTTTTCCTTCCACCCCAACCCCCTCCCATCCAAGATTAAGTCACCTCCCACCTGGCCCACCTCCAACATTAAGGATGACACGTGAGTTTTATAGGGACACACAGCCAACCCATATTATTCTGACCCTGATTCCCCAGAACCTCATGTCCT
This sequence comes from Homo sapiens, assembly GCF_000001405.40. NCBI lineage: Eukaryota > Metazoa > Chordata > Mammalia > Primates > Hominidae > Homo > Homo sapiens. Next base: position 123,202 of record NT_187498.1, read on the forward strand.
TCTCACAGAGCAAAACACAATCATGCCTTTTCAAAAGTTTCCAAAAGTCTTAACTCATTCCGAATGTAAAAATTTCAAAATCTCATCTGAGACAAGGTTACAGTCCCTTCTGCCAATGAGTCCCTGAATTTAAAAGGGATTTCTTTTCCTTCAAGGTAGAACAGGCATTGGGTAAGGTTTCTCAATCCAAAGGGAAGAAGTTGCTCAGAAAAATAACACAAATGCAAGTCCAAAACCCAGCAGGACAGTATTCACTCAATCTCACAGCTCCAAAATCATCAAGAGAACTCACTGTCATGCGGACAACATTAAGGAGATAGTGTTTACTCATTTGTGAAGAATCTGCCCCCCACCTTCACCTTTCACTCCCACCCACAAAATAATCTCTCCCATTCTCCCCACACCCCTACCTCCAACACCCACTCTTCTCCATGATTAAATCACCTCCCACCAGGTCCCACCTTTAACATTCCCCACTACAATTCCACATGAGCATTGGTAGGGACACAGAATCAAATCATATTATTCTGGCTCTTGCTCCCCAAATCTTGTATCCTTGTCACACTGCAAAATACACTGATGACTTCTCTACTGTCCCCCAATGACTTAACTCATTCCAGCATTTACTGAAATGTACAAGGACTTACAGACCCCATGCAAGTCAAAAACCCAGCAGGCCAGTCATTGAATCCTGCAGCTCCAAATCATCTTTTCTGAATCTACATCTCACATCTAGAGCACAGGTGTGTGATGCCTGGGCTTCCAAGGCCTTGGGCAGCTCTGCGCCTGTGGCTGTGCAGGGTCTATACCCCACAGCTGCCCTCATGGGCTGGGCTGATGTTGAGTGCCTGTAGCATTTCCATACTAAGGGTGCCAGCTGTTGGTGAGTCTATGAATCTGGAGTCTGGAGAATGGTGCCTCCATATTTAGGGACTCCAGCCCTAAATTCTCCTTCTGTACTGCCCTAGTAAAAGTTTCCCATGAGGCTCTGCCTCTTGGAAAAGATTCTGTGTGAACACCCAGGTTTTTCCGTACATACTCTGGAGTCTAGACAAAGGCTTGCAAGCGTCTAGTTTTGTGCTGTGTGCAGCTGCTGGCTTAACACTATGTGGAAGCCACCAAGCCTTGAAGCTTGCACCCCTGAAGCAGTGATGCAAGGTGTACCTGTGCATCTTTCAGCCAAGGCTGGAGCTGGAGCTTCAGGAATGCAGCCAGCAGTGTCCTGAGGTTGGACATAGCAGCGGGGCCATGGGGCTGGAGAAGGAAACCATTCTTTTCTCCCAGGCCTCAGGGCCTGTGATAGCAAGGGCTGCTGCAAAAGTCTCTGAAATGCCTTCAAGACCTTTTTAACATTGTATTGGCTATTAGCACTGAACTCCTTTTTATGCACATTTCTGAAGACTTTTTTAACTTTCCCACTGATAATCAGCTTTTCTTTTTGGCCACTTGACCAGGCTTCAAATTATCCATACTTTTAAGCTCTCCTTCTCATTTAAATACAAGTTTCACCTTGAGGTCATTTCTTTGGTCACATATAGGACCACAGGCTGTTCAACACAGACAGGAAACCTCTTAAGCTTTGCTGCCTAAAATTTCATTCCACCAAATACACTCTAAATTATCACCCTGATGTTCAAAATTTCACAGGTCTCCAGGTTAGGGGCATCATGCAGCAACATTCTTTGCTAAGGAAAAAACAAAAGTGACCTTGACTCCTGTTCCCAGCAAGCTCCTCATTTTCATGTGAGACATTCTAAGCCTGGTGATCACTGTCCATCCTTCTGTCACCTTTTTAATTATAACTATTTAACAAGTCTCTACACTGTTCCACACTTTTCCTCACCTTCCTGTCTTCTTCCAAGACCTCCAAACTCTCCAACCTCTGGCCATTACACACTTCTCAACCTGCTTCTACATTTTCAGCTACGTTTGTCACAGCCTGGCAATGTGGTAAAAGAAGAAAAGTCCATTTCAGGAGAAAAATTAATGCAGGCTTCAGACATTTGCCTGAAAAGAAGCTGAGTGCTGATTGCCAAGAGAATAGGAAAAAGGCCTTGAAGGCATTTCATAGTTCCACTTCATAGCATTATTTTTCTGTATAATCAGAAAGAAAAGAGGTTGAACTGGCTCATGGTTCTACAAGCTTTAAATAAATCATAGAGGCTTCTGCTTCTGGGAGGACTCAGGAAGCCTCCCAATCATACCAGAAGACCAAGCAGCAATGGGATGTTTTATATGGCAGAAGTAGAAACAAAACAGAGAGGAAAAAGGTGCCACACGTTGTATAACCCTGTTATACAACCAGATTTCCTGAGAACTCACTATCACAAGGTCAGTATCAAGAAGATGTTGCTTAACCATTGGTGAAAGTTCTGCCCCCTACCACCCACACCCCTCACTGTTTCCAGGCAGAAGCCTGAGGAAGAGGCAGAGCCACTAGCAAAACCTCTAATAGGGCAGAACAGAAAAAGTATATGGGCTTGGAGGCCCCACACAGGAGGTTACCATCCTCAGACCCCAGATTCATAGACTCACCAACAGCTTGCACTCTCAGTATGGAAAAGCTACAGGCACTCAAGCAACAGCCCAGCCTATGAGGGCAGCCATGGGGGCTACACCCTGCAAAGCCATAGGTGCCCTGCCCTGGTGGAGGTTTTCCTTGAGGCTTTGCCTCTGCAGCAGGCTACTCCCCCTTACTACTGCCCACGAAACTCTCACCACCCTACTGCCAGCCTACTCCTCCCCATCCTACCCATTTGTTTTCCCTTCCACCGCTACCAACCTCCCGTTTGTGATTAAATCACCTCCCACCAGGCCCAACCTATAACTGTCAGGAATACAATTCCCCATGAGTTTTTGTAGGGAAACACAGCCAAACCATATTATCCTGACCCTGACACCCCCACATCTCATGTCCTTCTCACACAGAAAAATACAAACATGCCTTTTCAAAAGTTTCAAAAAGTCTTAACTCATTCCAGCAGTAACTCAAATGTAGTAAGTTCAAGTCTCATCCAAGACAAGGCTGCAATCCCTTCTGCCTATGACTCCCTGAATGTAAAAGACAATTCTTTTCTTTCAAGTTACAATGATGGCACAGGCATTGGGTAGGCTTTCTTAAACCAAAGGGAAGGTTTTCCCAGAAAAATAACACAAATGGGACACAGGCCCAATCCGACTCCAAAACCCAGCAGGACAGCATTCATTTATCACGAGAACTCACTATCACACAGACTGCATTAAGGAGATAGTATTTAACCATTTGTGAAGGATCTGCCACCCATCCCCATGTTTCACCCTCACCCACACCATGAACCTCCATTCTCCCACATCCCCCTTCCAACCCCCATTCTCTACCATGATTAAATCACCTTCTACGAAGCCCCACACTTAACATTCCCCATTATAATTCCACATGAGTTTTGGTAGGGACACAGAGCCAAATCGTATTATTCTCCCTTTGGCCCCCCAATCTCACATCCTTCTCATACTGCAAAATACAATGATGCATTCTCTACAGTCCCCCAATGTCTGAACTCATTCCAGCATTTACTCAAATGTCCATTTGTGAAGGATCTACCCCCTACCCCTGCCTTTCACCCCCAACCCCACCACAATCGCCCCCAACCCTCCCCACCCCTTAATCCCCCCAACCCTCCCCACCCCCCAACCATCTAACCTCCACTCTTCACCATGATTAACTCACCTTCCACCAGCCCCCACCTTTAACATTTCCCATTAAAATTCTACATGAGTTTTGGTAGAGACACAGAGCCAAAACATATTATTCAGTCCCTGGTCCCCCAAAATTCATGTCTTTCTCACATTGCAAAATGCAATGAGGCCTTCCTTAGAGTCCCCCAAATCTTAACTCATCCCAGCATTTACTCAAATGTCCAAAGGCCAAAGTCTCCTCTGAGACAAGGCTGCCATATTTTCTGCCCTGAGCCTCTGAAATACAAAGCAAGTTAACCACTTCCAAGTTACAATGATTGTACAGGCATTGGGTAAGCATTCCAAGCCAAAAAGTAGAAATTTCCCAGAAAGAAGCACAAAACACAGATGGGACTTACAAACCCCCTGCAAGTCAAAAACCCAGCAGGCCAGGCATTCCATCATACAGCTCCAAATCATCTTTTTGGAATCTATGTCCACATCCAGAGCACAGGGTATTGTGATGGCTGGGATCCCAAGGCCTTGGGCAGCTCTGCACATGTGGCATTGCAGAATCTTCCCCCTACAGCTGCCCTCATTGGCTAGGCTGGTGTTGAGTGCCTGTAGCTTTTCAACACTAAGGGTGCAAGCAGCTGGTGGGTCTATGATACTGGGGTCTGGAAAATGGTGCCTCCCTGTATGGGGACTCCAACCCTATACTTTCCTTTTGTACTGCCCGAGTAGAGGTTTACCATGAGGCTCTGCCTCTTGGAAAAGCTTCTGGTTAGACACTCAGGATTTCTGATATATCCTCTGGAGTCCAGACCAAGGCTCTGAAGCTTCTAGTCCTGTGCTTTATGCACCTGCTGGCTTAACACTATGTGGAAGCCACCAAGGCTTGGAGCTTGCATCCTCTGAAGCAGTGACGCAAGCTGTACCTGTGCATCTTTCATCCATGGCTGGAGCTGGAAAAGGAGCTGCAGGGATGCAGGCAGCAGTGTCCTGAGGCTGCACACAGCAGTGGAGCCATGGGGCTGGGCCAGGAAACTATTCTTTTCTCCTAAACCCCAGGGCCAGTGACAGCAAGGGCTGCTACAAAGGTCTCTGAAACGCCTTCAAGGCCTTTTTCCCATTGTCTTGAATTATTAGCACGGGGCTCCTTTTTATGCAAATATCCGAAGGCTTCTTGATTTTCCCCCTGAAAATCAGCTTTTCTTTTTGACCATTTGTCCAGATTACAAATTTTCCAAATGTTGAAGCTCTGCTTCTCATTTAAATATAAGTTCCAACTTATGGTAATTTCTTTCATCACACATAGGAGCACAGGCTGTTCGACGTAGGCCGGACAACTCTTCAGCTTTGCTGCTTAGAAGTTCATTCCACCAGATACACCCTAAATCATCACCCTAAAGTTCAGTTTCACAGATCTCCAGGGAATGGTCACTGTGTAGCCAATTACTTTGCTAAGGCAAAAGAAAAAACCCTTGGCTCCTTTTCCCAGTAAGTTTCTCATTTTCATCTGAGACCTTACAAGCCTGGCCTTCAGTGTCCATCCTTCTGTCAGCCTTTTAATCATAACTATTTAACAAGTCTCTGCAATGGTCCAAACTTTCCCTCATCTTGTTATCTTCTTCCAAGCTCTCCAAACTCTCTAACCTCTGGCCATTACCCAATTTGGAACCTGCTTCTACACTGTCATCTATCTTTGTTGCAGCCTGGCGATATGGTAAAAGAAGAAAAGTCTATTATCAGGGGAAACATCAAGATGGCTTCCAATATTTGCATTGAAAAAAGCTCAGCGCTAATAGCCAAGAGAATGGGGGAAACGCCTAGAAGTCATTTCATAACTTCACTTCACAGCATTAATTTTCTGTATCTACATAAGGAAAAGAGGTCTAATTGACTCACAGTTCTTCAGGCTGTAAAGAAAGCATAGTGGTTTCTGCTTGTAGGAGGACTCAGAAAGCCTCCCAATTATACCAGAAGGCCAAGCGGCAATGAAATATTTCATATGGCAGGAGTAGAAGCAAGACAGAGAGAGGAAAGAGGTGAGACATCCTGTTATACAACTATATCTCATGAGAGCTCACTATCAGGAGATCAGCATCAAGAAGATTGTGCTTAACTGTTGGTGAAGGATCCGCCCACCTCCCCATATCCACCACCCACTGATTCCAAGCAGAAGCCTGAGGCAGAGACAGATCCCCTTGAAAAACCTCTACTAGGGCAGTACAGAAGGAAAATATGGGCTTGGAGCCCCCACGCCACCATCCTCCAGACCCAAGAGTCATGGACCCACCAACAGCTCACACCCCCAGTATGGAAAAGCTTCAGGTACTCAACACCAGCCCAGCCCATGAGAGCAGCAGCAGGTGCTAAACCCTGCAAAGCCACAGGTGCAAAACCACAGGTGCACTGCCTTAGTAGAGGTTTTCCATGAGCCTCTGCCTCTGTGGCAGGCTACTCCCTTCCTGCTACACACCACCCTACAGCCAGCCTACTCCTCCCCACCTTACCCACCTGTTTTTACTTCCAACCCCACCCCTCTCCCATCCATGAATAAATCACCTCTCACCAGTCCCCACCTGCAACATTCTGGATTACAATTACATGTGAGTTTAGGTAGGGACACACAGCTAAACCATATTATTTTGACCCTGATCCCCCAAATATCATATCCTTCTCACAGAGTAAAATACAATCATGCCTTTTCAAAAGTTGCCAAAAGTCTTAAGTCATTTCAGCATTAACTCGAATGTAAAAAGTTCCACGTCTCACCTGAGAAAAGGCTACAGTCCCTTTTGCATACAAGTCCCTGAATTTAAAAGGGAGTTCTTTTCTTTCAAGGTACAATGATGGTACAGGCATTGGGTAAGTTTTCTCAATCCAAAGGGTAAAGGTTTGCCAGGAAAATAACACAAATGGGATCACAGGGCCAATGCAAGTCCAAAACCCAGGAGGTCAGTATCCATTCAATCTCACAGCTCCAAAACCATCACGAGAACTCACCATCATGAGGAAAGGATTAAGGAGATGGTGTTTAACTATTTCTGAGAGATCATCCCCCCACCCCCACTTTTCACCCCTCACCCCCAGCATAATCCACCCATCCTCCCCAATCTCCACCTTCCAACACCCAGTGCCCTCCATGATTAAATCACCTTCCACCTGGCCCCAATTTTAACACTTCTCATTACAATTCCACATGAGTTTCCATAGCGACACACAGCCGAATCTTATTATTCTGTCCCTGCCTCCCCAAATCTCATGTCCTTCTCATTTTGCAAAATACAGTGATGCCTTACTTACAATTCCCCAAGCCACTATGCTTTTTTTTTTACAGCCTGCAGAACCATCAGCCGATTAAACCCCTTTTTGTTACGATCATACAGAAAATTAGTACTGTGAAGTGAAGCTATGAAATGCCTTCAATGACTTTTCCCCATCATCTTGGCTAAGACCTCCAAGGTCTTAACTCATTCCAGCATTTACTTCAATGTCTGAAGCCCAAAGTCTCATCTGAGACAAAGATGCAGTCCCTTCTGTTCCTGAGCCTCTGAAATACAAAGCAAGTTAACTATTTCCAAGGTATGATTGTCCAGGCATTGAGTAAGAATTCCCACCCTAAAGGAAGATTTTTGCCAGAGAGAACAACGAAACACAAACGGGACTTACAGGTCCCAGGAAAATCCAAAACCCAGCAGGCCAGTTACTCAAACTTACAGCTCCAAAGTCATCCTTTTTTAATCCTTGTCCCACATCCAGGGCACAAGGGCATGAGGGCTGGACTCCCAAGGCCTGGGGCTGGTCTGCACCTGTGGCTTTGCAGTTTTCAGTCCCCACAGCTGCCCTCATGGGCTGTGCTGGTGTTGAGTGCCTGTAGTTTTTACCCACAGAGTGTACAAAGCTCTTGGTGGGTCTATGAATCTGGGGTCTGCATATGGTGGCCTCCAGTGTGGGGGTTCCAACCCCCTATTTTCCTTCTGCACTGCCCTAGTAGAGGTTTCCCAGGAGGCTCTGCTTTTTTGGCAGCCTTCTGTCTGGACACCCAGGCATTTTCATACATCTTCCAAAATCTATATGAAGGCTCTGAAGCCTCTGGGCTAGTGCTCTATGGACTCGATGGCTTAAGACTATGTGGAAGCCGTGAAGCCTTATAGCTTGTACCCTCTGAAGCAGTGATGCAATCTGTACCTGTGCATCTTTCAGCCAAGGTCGGAGCAGGAGCTGCGGCTGCTGGGATGCAGACAGCAGTGTCCTGAGGCTGCACACAGCAGCAGGGCCATGGGGCTGGCCCCAGAAACCATTCTTCTCTCCTAGGCCCCAGGGTCTGTGACACCAAGGGCTGCTGCAACTATCTCTGAAATGCCTCCAAGGCTTTTTCCCCCCATTGTCTTGGCTATTAGCACTGGCCTCCATTTTATGCAAATTTCTGGAGCCTTCATGAATTTTCCCCCTGAAAATCAGCTTTTCTTTTTGACCACTTGGCCAGGCTGCAAATGGTTCTAAACTTTTGAGCTCTGCTTGTCATTTAAATATAAGTTCCAACTTGAGGTCATTTCCTCAGTCACACATAACCTCGGTCACACAAGAACATGGGCTGTTTGATGCAGACAGGATCCCCCTTGTGCTATGCTGCCTAGAAGTTCATTCCACCAGATATGCACTAAATCATCACCCTCAAGTTCAAAGTTTCACATATCTCGAGGGCAAGGTCGCCCTGCAGCCATGTTCTTTGCTACAGCAAAACAAAAGTAACCTTGGCTCCTGTTCCCAGTAATTTCCTCATTTTCATCTGAGACCTTGTAAGCCTGGCCTTCACTGTCCATCCTTCTGCCAGCCTTTTAATCACAACTATTCAACAAGTGCCTACTATGGTCCAAAATTTCTTTCATCTTCCTGTCTTCTTTCAAGCTCTCCAAACTCTCCAACCTCTGGCTGTTACCCACTTCTGAACCTGCTTTACATTTTCAGCTATCTTTGTTGCAGCCTGACAATGTAGAAGAAAAAGAAGTCCATTTTCAGGGGGAAACTTCAAGAAGGCTTCAGATATTTGCATTAAAAAGAAGTCCAGTGCTAATAGCCAAGACGATGGGGAAATGTCATTGAATATATTTCATAGCTCCACTTCGCAGTACTTTATTTTCTGTATGATCATAATGAAAAGGGGTTTAATTGGCTCATGGTTCTGCAGGCTGTAAAGAAAGCATAGTGGCTTCTGCTTCTGGGAGGACTCAGGAAGACTCCCAATCATACCAACAGGAAAACAGCAATGAAATATTTCATACGGCAGGAGTAGGAGCAAGGCTGAGAGAGGAAAGAGGTGCCACACGGTTATATAACCAGATCTCATGAGAACTCACTATCACTAGGTCAGCATCAAGAAGATGGTGCTTAACCATTGGTGAAGGATCCGCCCCCCAACACAGCTCCACCTCCTAGTGTTCCAGACAGAAGCCTGCTGCAGAGGCAGAGGCTCTTGGGAATCCTGTACTATGGCAGTGCAGAAGGAAAATAAGGGCTTTGACTGACTATGCAGGAGGCCACCATCCTCGAGACCCCAGATTCATAGACCTACCAACAGTTCACACCCTCAGTATGGAAAAGTGATAGGCTCTCAACACCAGCCCAGCCCATGAGAGCAGCCATGGGGGCTAAAGCCTGCAAAGCCACAGGTGCACTGCCCTGGTAGAAGTTTTCCATGAGCCTCGGCCTCGGCAGCAGGCTACTCCCCCTTCCTACTATCCATCACCCTCCCATGGCCCTACAGCCAGCCTATTCTTCCCCACCCTACCCACCCCTTTTTTCTTCCACCCCTACCCCTCCCATCCATGATTAAATAATCTCCCACCAGGCCCCATCTCCAAAATTTGGGATTACAATTCCACATGAGTTTTTCCAGGGGCACACAGCCAAATCATATTATGCTGACCTTGACCCCCCAAATATCATATCCTTTTCACAGAATAAAATACAATCATGCCTTTTCAAAGGTTTCCAAAAGGCTTAACTCCTTCCTGCATTAACTCAAATGTAAAAAGTTTTAAGTCTCATCTGAGACAAGGCTGCAGTCTCTTCTGCCTATGAGTCCCTGAAGTTAAAAGGGTGTTTGTTTCTTTCAAGGTACAATGATGGTACAGGTACTGGGTAAACTTTCTCAATCCAAAGGGAAGAAATTTCCAAGAAAAATAACACAAATGGGACCACAGGCCCAATGGACATCCAAAATCCAGTACGTCAGTGTTCATTCAATCTCACAACTCCAAAATCATGAAGATAACTCACTATCAGAAGGACAGCATTAAGGAGATGGTGTTTAACCATTTGTGAAGGATCCACCCCCACCCCTGCCTTTCACCCCCAACCCCACCACAATCCCCTCCAACCCTCCCCACCCCCGATTCCCTCCAACCCTCTCCACCCCAGAATCCCCCCCACCCTCCCGGTGCCCCCAACCATCCAACCTCCACTCTCCACCATGATTAAATCACCTTCCATCGGCCCCCACCTTTAACATTTTGCATTAACATTCCACATGAGCTTTGGTAGAGACAGAGAGCCAAAACCTATTATTCTGTCTCTGGTCTCCCAAAGTTCATGTCTTTCTCACATTGCAAAATGTAATGATGCCTTCCCTAGAGTCTCTCAAATCTTAACTCATTCCAGCATTTACTCAAATGCACAAAGCCCAGAGTCTTATCTGAGACAAGTCTACAGTCCCTCCTGCCCATGAGCCAGTGAATTGTAAAGCAAGTTTACTACTTCCAAGGTACAATGATTGTACAGGCAGTGGGTGACTCATAGGATACATAAGTGTCCAAAACCCAGCAGGCCAGTTACTTAATGCTACAGCTCCAAAATCACCATTTTTGAATCCTTGTCCCATATCCATGGCACAGGGCTGTGAGGGCTGAGCTCCCAAGGCCTTGGGCAGATCTTCATCTGTGGCTTTGCAGCGTTCAGCCTCCGCAGCTGTCTCTCATGGACAGGGCTGTTGTTGAGTGCCCATAGCTTTTCCACGCTGAGGGTGCAAGCTGTTTATGGGTCTATGAATCTGGGGTTTAGAGAATGATGCTTCCCTGTGTGGGGGCTTCAACCCTATAGGTCCCTTCTTTGCTCCTCTAGTAGAGGTTCCCCATGAAGCTCTGCCTCTTGGAAAAGCTTCTTCCTGAACATCCAGGATTTTCTGTACATCTTGTAGAGTCTAGACGGGAGTTCCCAAGCCTCTAATCTCTTTCTCTGTGCACCTACTGGCTTAACACTATATGGAAACCATCAAGACTTTGAGGCACCTCTGAAGCAATGACCCAAGCTGTACCTGTGCATCTTTCAGCCATGGCTGGTGCTGGAGCTGCACGGATGCCGGCAGCAGTGTCCTGCGGTTGAGCACAGCAGCAGAGCCATGGGACTGGCGTAGGAAACCATTCTTTTCTCCTAGGCCCCAGGGCCTGTGACAGCAAGGGCTGCTGCAGACATCTCTAAAATGCTTTCAAGGCCAGTTTCCCACTGTCTTGGCGTTTTGCACTGGGTTCCTTTTTATACAAATACCCTAAGCCTTCTTGAATTTTCCCCCTCAAAATCAGCTTTTCTTTTTGACCACTTAGCCAGGCTCCACATTTTCCAAACTTTAGATCTCCACTTGAAGTTCCAACTTGAAGTCACTTCTTAGGTCACCCATAAGAACACAAGCTGTTCAATGTAGGCAGGACACCTCTTGTGCTATGCTGCCTAGATGTTCATTTCACCAGATACATCCTAAATCATCACCCCCAAGTTCATAGTTTCACAGATCTCCAGGGCAGGGTCCCCATGCAGCCAGCTTCTTTGCTAAGGCCAATCAAATGTAATCTTGTCTCTTGTTCATAGGAAATTCCTCATTTTCATCTGAGAACTTTTAGGTCTGGACTTCAGTGTTTACACTTTTGTCAGCCTTCCTATCACAAGTATTTAACAATTCTCTATAGTGGTCCAATATTTTCCTCATCTTGCTGTCTTCTAAGCTTTCCCAACTCTTCTGACCTCTGTCTTTTACCCACTTCTGAACCTGGTTCTACATTGTCAGCTATCTTTATCACAGCCTGGTAATGTGGTAAAACAGAAAAGTCCATTTTCAGGGGGAAAGTTCATGAAGGATTCAGATATTTGCATGAAAAGAAACTGAGTGCCGGTTGCCAAGACAAAGGGGAAAGGGCCTTGAAGGCATTTCATGGCTCCACTTCATAGTACTAATTTTCTGCATGATCATAAAGAAAAGAGGTTTAATTGGCTCACGGTCCAGCAGGCTGTAAAGGAAGCACAGTGGCTTCTGCTTCTGGGAGGATCAGATCAGGAAGCCTTCCAATCATACCAGAAGGCCAAGGGGCAATGAGATGTTTCAAATGGCAGGGGTAGAAGAAAGACTGAGAGAGGAAAGAGGTGCCACCCCCTGTTATATAACCAGATCTCATGAGAACACACTATCATGAAGACAGTATCAAGAAGATGTTGCCTAACCATTGGTGAAGGATCTGCCTCCCACCCCCACCTCCCACTGTTTCCAGGCAGAAGCCTGCTGCAGATGAAGCATTCTTGGGAAACCTCTACTAGGGCAGTGCCGAAGGAAAATATGGACTTGGAGCCCCCATGCAGGGGGCCACCACCCTCCAGACCCCAGATACATAGACCCACCAACAGCTTGCACCCTCCGTGTGGAAAAGCTACAGGCACTCAACACTAGTCCAGTCCATGAGAGCAGCCATTGGGGCTCAAACCTGCAAAGCCACAGGTGCGCTTCCCTAGTAGGGATTTTCCATGAGACTCTGCCTCTGCAGCAGGCTACTACCCCTTCCTACTACCCACCACCCTCCCACCACCGTACAGCCAGTCTACTCCCTCCCACCCTACCCACCCCTTTTTCCCTTCCACATCCACCCACACCCATCCATGATTAAATCACTCCCTCCCACTCCCTGTCATAATCTAATCCCCCCAAACCCTTCCAATCTTTGTTTGCTACCCACTACTGAGCCTGCTTCTACTTTTTCAGAAACCTGTATAGCAGGTTGGCTATGTAGCAAGAACAAAAATCCCATTTAAGGGGAAACATTCAAGAAGATTTCAGAAATTTGCATATAAAGAAGCCCTGTGCTAATAGCCCAAACAAAGGGAAAAAGGCCTTGAAGGCATTTCACAGCTCCTCTCTGCAGTTCTACTTTTCTGTATTATTGTAAATAAAAGAGGTGTAATTGACTCATGGTTCTGCAAGCTGTGAAGGAAGTATAGTGTCTTCTGTTTCTGGGAGGAATCAGGAAGCCTCCTCATTATATCAGAAAGCCAAGGGACAATGAGATGTCTCCTAAAGCAGGAGCAGGAGGATGAGATCTGTTAAACAACAAGATCTCATGGGAACTCACTCATTATCAGGAGGATAGCATCAAGGTGATGGTTCTTTATCATTCGTGAAGTGTCTACCTGCACCATTTTATGACTAAATCTTTTTCCACCTAGACCTTGCCTGTAACATTACAAAATGTAATTCCACATGAGTTTTGGTAGGGACATAGACAAAAACCGTATTATTCTGTCCTTGACCCAATGAATCTCATGTCCTTCTCACATTGCAAAATACAAACATGCCTTGCCAGCAGTCTCCCAAAGTCTTAACTCATTTCAGGATTAACTCAAAGTTACAAAGTCCAAAGTCTCATCTGGGTCAAGGCTACAGTCTCTTTTGCCTATGAGTCTCTGAAATAAAAAGCAGGCATTGTGTAAGCTTTCCATTTCCAAAAGGAAGACATTTTCCAGAAAGCTTCTTATTTCTCTCTGAGACCTCCTCAGCCTGGCCTTCACTGTCCATGTTTCTGTCAGGATTTTTGTCACAACCATTGAACCAGACTCTAAGATGGTCCAAAAGTTTTCTCATCTGTCTTCTTTTGAGCCCTCCAAACTCTTCCAACCTCCGTCCATTACCTGGTTCCAAAGCTGCTTCAACATTTCCAGGTATCTTTATAGCAACGCTCCAGTCCTCATTTGCCATTTCCTGTATGATTTATTTTGAAAAAGAGGTTTAATTGGCTCATGGTTCTAAGCACAGTGCTTCTGCTTCTAGGCCTCAGAAATCTTTCAATAATCATGGAAGGCAAAGAAAGAATCAATTGTCTCACATGGCAAGGGGAAAACACGGAGAGTGGGGAGGTGATATAGAGATTTCAGTGACTACATCTCATGAGAAGTCACTCATTATTGTGAGGATGGTACAAGGGGATGGTGCTGAACCATTCATGAGAAATTTGCCTTCATAATTCAATCACCTTATACCAGGATCCACCTTCCACATTAGGAAATATAATTCAACATGAGATTCGGTGGGGACATATATTCAAATTGCATCATCAATCTTTGAATATAAAGACATCCACAGCAGGCTTTATCCAGCCAACTTCTTTGAGACTCTTTATAGAGTTTGAAGTCTAGAGCATATACACTAAAATATTCATACTTCAAAAAGCAATAAAGTGGTATTATCATTTTTCCAAAAGTTACAGCAGTAGTTTAGGCATTCATAGTATGATTTAGTTCATGATTGCTACTGTTTCTATTCTATCACCATATTAACTGTTTCCTATACAATTCTGTATTCAGCTGGATTTCAGTTGAGCACAAAACCATCCTTGTACTAGCTCTTTGCTAGTGTTATTATTCTGCTGTAGAAAGTATCCTTGAACTGGAAACCGTCCACGATCGAGTATCGAGTCATTCAACACTATCAATTCCTGGGTGACTTTTTGAAAAAGTAGTATATCTTGTTGCAAGAAATGCTGCATCTGTGAGTCCATGTCTCTCACTGGAATTGGATGGAAGTGGTGAATTTCAGCCAAAGTGGCCAAAGAAATCCTGTTCCTGTGATTCTGACGTCATCAGCCTCTGCACCTCTGTCTTCCCTTCTGCCACATGTTGCCTGCTCTCCATGACTTTGGTAAGAGCTTCCTTGTGTATGTGGATGATGTCCAGGATGTTGGTGTGGTGTCCCTGAGACAGCACTAACAGGTCCATGGCTGGGTCCAGGTCCTTCCTGGGCTGACTGGCAAAGAGCTCACTGACAGAGTGGAAGGCATCTATACTGAAGTGGATGGCCTGGTCCAGCTCCAAGGCCTGGCTGAGGCTGAAGAAGAACTGTCAGGCTTCTGATGCTCTTTCTCAAAGCCTGCCACCACTCATTGGCTGTGAAGTTGAGCTGAGTGCCCTGTTGTCCATCTTCTTGGTGAAGCACTTGAAGCTGTCAATCTTGCTCTCCCACTCCTAAAAGTTCAGTGTCACACTGGGGGTGGGCTCAGGGCCAGGAAGAATCTGGCACTCACCATCTCATCCTTCTCAGCCTTCCTCTTGCCCTGTCTCCAGGCTATCTCTTCAGTGCTGGTGGGGCACATCAGGAAGTGACAAAAAATGTGGCACTGCACCTGCATCCAGAAGCTGGCTGTGTGGTTCATCTACAAGACTGGGCCCTTTCTGCACTTGAACATAGATCCACTTCACCATAGATGCCTTCCACACTGTCAGTGAGCTCTTTGCCCATCAGCCCAGGCAGGATCTGGACCCAGTCATGGACCTGTTAGTGCTGTCTCAGGGACACCAGACCAACATTCTGGACATCATCCACATACACAAGGAAGCTCTTACCAGAGTCCTCCTCAAGATGGCTTGTGGTCTGCCTCTTGGCACCCGAGAAGCCCACAGTGCTGTAGAAGCCCCGATGCTTGGACTGGAGCCCCAGAGGCAGCACACACCCCAGTTCTGAGCCTGCTGCTCATTTCCTCTATGTGGCTCCATTTGCAGCACATTTGTTGCACTGAGGCCTGTGCATGCCAGGCAAAGCCAAGCTGGCTCAAAGAACAACCACCCACCTCTGCAAGGGTGTGCCAGGAGCCAGTGGACCAGCCACCAGCGTCACTCCCTGCCAGTCAGGGTAAATCAGTTATTCTGCCCTGGAGGTGGAGCCCCAGTGCCATCTGCTTTTCCTCAGGCCTCCACTCCATCAGCTGTCAGGTGGTGGTCACTCAGACTGTGGGAAACTGGCCATCCCTGTTTCCTTGAGTGGGTGAGGTTGGTGACTGCTCCACCTGCTCCTGGCACACCATTGCAGAGGTGGCTGGTTGCTCTTTGAGCCAGCTTGGCCTTGCCTGGCATACACAGGCCCCAGGTACTGAGAAGCTGCTCCGAGTAAGTTTGTCTTGGGCCAAATTCTAAGTCTGGCCAGGGCCACAGAAGGCCGAGTCCCCTGGGTGGTAATCCTGGCTGCTGCAGGGGGGCCCATGGTTCCCCTCCCCTCCCAGGGCTCAGGATGAGGTCCAACTGGGACAGGATGCTTTAGGTATGGGACTTGTGCCCCAGGAGGGGACCTCTGTCACACACGTTGGGTAAGAATATGTATGGCATGCTGCTGGCTGCCAGGGCTGTTGGGATGCACGTTCACCCTTCCCTTCAGGGACCTCAAAGTGACCAGCTTCCCCTTTATGAATGACTTCCCAAGGCCCAGGAGCCATTTGGGGCTGCAGAGCAGCTGGCTGCATGCTGCCCTGGCTTCTTCCATGTTGTGCTGGTCACTACCTACCAAGGGGGGTCAGATGCAGGCACAATGTAGGACGATTGTCTCTGGACCTGTGTCTTGGTTATCATGGAGCTAGACTGGGCCTGGTGACAGGGCCCTGATGGGGTTGTCCTGTGTGGTCACGGAGGTGATCAGAAAAGATGCAGAATGGAATTGCTGCGAGGATGAATGAGATGACTGTCAGCACATAACAGGCAGCTGGTGAGTGTTCAGGGATTACCCTCAGTAGCTGCCCAGAGACCGAAACCATCCACCTGATAGTGACTTTTCCCAAGCCAGGAGGAAGAGAAAAGAGCAGATCCCACTCACCTGAATCTGATCAGTGAGCTGTGTTGAGATGTGCCTCTCATCTAGAAAATGGTCCTTCACGCAGAGCTACTCACAGACACTGCTGTGTGTCTCTAACTGCTCCACAACACAGAGGCGATGGGGACTCAGCAACAGTGACATTGTGGGGTGACACAACCCACCACCATGGGAGTCTGCTTGGGTCAACAGTGCCCAGAGTCAGTGTCCTCTATCCCCTGAACTGACATGTGTGTATGCAGTGTATTTGTGTATGCATGTGTGCCTGTGTGTGTGTGTATGTGTGTGTTTGTCTTGCTTCTCTGGACAGGCCTAGCTTCTCCACTCATGGGTGCATCCAGGTCCTCATCACTGTCACCTTAGAGCATTAGAGCCTCTATAGGTGCTCCCCAATCTCTGCCCTCCCCACCCATGGTGGTCCTGGGGATGCAGACAGAAAAGGGGCACTGCATAATGCTGAGAGGGCTGGCACCCTCTCTAGGTGGAACACAGGTCATTTGTAAAGTTGTAGGTCTGCCAAGCAGTATTGGATTCAACACATCTTCTCACCTTCTCTTTCCAGCCACCCTCCAGGGTGCCCCGACTCACTTTCCCTGCAGATGGAGGCAAGGAGGCTCCACAGACAACCCCCCTGCCTGAGGTCACATAGTGGCCAGCAGGCCAGGTACTGACCAACTGCCCCTGACCAGGTTCCCAGTGATGAGTGATGAGGCCCCTAATGACCACTCCTCCATTGACCAGGTCCCACTGATCAAGTCCCCACTGACCATGTCTTCCTAACCAGGCCCACACTTAATAGGATTCATGGGCCAGACCCCACTGACCAATTTTCCACTGACCTGGTCCCCATTGACAAGACCGGGTTCCCACTGACAAGACCACAATTTACCAGGTTGCTGCTCACCCGACCCCCCACTGAACAATTCTCCATGAACGAGTACCCAGCTGACCGAGCCCCCTCTGACCAGGCCTTCACTGACCAGGCTCCAAGCCACTAAGGCCCCACACTGACCAGGCCGGTGATATATTGTGTATGCCCCACCAACCAGTTTTTCATTGTTTATGTTCCAACTGATCAGGCCCCACTAATAAAGCCACCACTGACTAGGTCCCCCCACTGACCAGGCTTCCAATGACTAGGTCACCAGGTCCCCACTGATGAGGCCTTTACTGAGGAGGCTGCCACTAACCAGGCCCCTGCTGATCAGGTCCCACATGACTAGGTCCTGATGACCAGGTCATCTCTGACCATGGTCCACTGACCAGGCCCCGGAGCAACGGGGTGCAAAGTCTCATTACAATGTCCCCCTCAGCTCATAGACCCTCCCTCCCTGCATGTGTGCCCAGAGGTCAGGCCCTGGGGTTTTTTTTGGGACATGGCCTTTCCTCCAAGACACAGGGAGAGACAGCTGGCCTCAGGCTCCAGGTTCCCAGCTCCACACTCACCCCAAAGGCCCTCTGGGCCCATCTCAAAGGAGAAAGTGAGGTGGCCTGACACTGCCTGGACACACCATCTACCCTATTCCTGAGTGTCAGAGTGTGAGGAAGGGAGGGACATTTGGCAGATAAGGCACGCTGTGCTGTTGGGTCTCTCAGGGCCCTTCCCACAGAGCCCCGATCTAAAGACACAACACAGAGCCTACAGGAAGACTAATCCAGAACCTCTGAGACAGCCAGGGACCACATGAGGACTCTCTCCAGACAGCCAGAAGGCCCTTTGCTAGTTTCTTGGTACCTCAGTGGATGTGGCAGTGGTTCTTCTGTTGGGGACCAGTGAGTACATACTGGGGAGGGCTCACCTGTGCTTCCTCAGTGGCTCCACCTCTGCTTCTAAAAAAAATGACTCATTCCAGAGCTGGCGCAGAGAAAATACAAGCTGAGCTTAGAACATCTTCTGCCAGAAAGTAAAAAAGTGCCGACAGAGTAATGGAGACAAATCAAAGAGACATAAAGTCAGCTTGGAATGTCTACTACTGGCCTAATCTTGGGGAATTGGAGCATCAGAGTCATGAGCTTTCCTTCTCCCCTATTTATTGGTTTTATTTCTCCATGTAGAACAAAGAAGAGAATAAGAAAATAATCATCTGGTAACCATCATAGTAATAATTGTTCAAACACAAGTCATCCATGAAATGCTAAATCTAGTGGGTTCTGAGGAGTAACCAGATATTTACAGAGCCTCAAAGTATCTCCATACAAAATACGGTTGAACTACAAAAAGAAAATTGTAACATTAGCATGGACAAACCTGGCAGGTACTCCTTAACTCTCCTAAGTAATAAAAACTGTAAAATGCAAATAAGCCTTCGATGACCTTTACTAACCTTTACTAAAGTATCAATGATGACTTGGTTGTTTAAACAGCTGACATTTGGGCAATTTGAGTATGTCAAACTCAATAATACTGGTTTTCATTTGCAAGATCCACTTAAAACTTAAGGAGGCCAAAAAACATCATTTAAAATACCCTATAAATTATAATCATACATATGATACAAAAATATCCTACTTCAGTAAATATTGGAATGTTATATATTTTATGAGAAACAATTAAAATGTGTAAATAGCCCAGTAATAAAGTTTTATAATCTTTTAAATCAACATAGAATTTTTCCTTAAGACTTTATGGTTAAATATTCTCTTCATTAGATGTGGCTTACCCGTGGATTCTAGAGAAGAAAGTAGATGGGAGCAAGTGTCCAATACAGCAACAGCTGGAAAGAAAAATAAAGAATTTTGTTCTTTACCTAAAACACTTCAGTTAACTAAGTGTGAGTTTAAAAACTAAAGACTTGAGAACTTTATCAGAGTTAATAAGAATGAGAAATATGTATGTGCATTTACAATACAAAATTACTATTTAATAATTTACACATGGCATTAATTCTAATTGTGTTTAAATATCAGAGCTTTTTCAGTCTTCATTCATGTAATCAACAGCCACATGCTAAGGTACTAGAACCAGCACTGGAATTACAAGATGAAGATGGCATGGTCCACCTCTCAACAGTCATAAACTCTAACCTAAAAAACAGACAGGCAGGCAATGTCCATATAGAGTCATAGATACCATGACAGGTATACAGCAGGGCACTACGGGAACACAGAGAAGGGACATCTACCCACTTTTATGTCAATATCATGGGCTTTCTGGTGGAGGAGATAACATAGGTTGATACCTGAAGGACAAGGAAAAGCTACCCAGATAGAGGAAAGAGGCAAAGGCAAAGAGCCTGAGGTGAAGAAGAGCCCTGCAGAGTTCCACTCCATCCAGTTTGGTGCTAGAGCAAAGGGCAGAGTGCAGTAAGTGGTGAGAAACAAGGCTGAGTAACTTGACAAGAATTACATTGACATGGGTGTTTTTATTTCATGGTGAAAAATTTGGAACTTTTCCTGAGAACAAGTGTAAGCCAATGACACGGTAAATTAGAGGAGATTTAAAATGTCACCTGTCAAGTGACTGCTTATGAAGGGTTATTGCTCAGCTAAGTATTTCTGAATGAGTCTTAGGTCTGTTGGCCTTCAATCTCTACCAAAACCCTGAGAACTTGATGATGCTTTTGTTTTCTGAGAATCGTTTCAGTGTGCTGGCTGACAGTTCCATGAGGATGGCAAAACTTAAGAAAGTGTAGAGCCAGTGAAAAAGAGATGCACAGACTTCTTGGGAACTGTTTAAGCTTTGGAACATGATGAATTTTTGGTGCATAAGTACAGTCTTCTCTGTGAAAGTTTTTGTTTTCACATCTTTCATTAGATGTGTGTAAGAAAAAAAATATTGATGTAGTATCTACTAACCCAAGAATGAAAAGGAATGCCATTTGCTATTTACACTTTATTTCTAAAATAAACCTAAATTTAATTAATAAATTTTGTCAACGTACTTCTCTTTGTTTCTCTAATTATTTATTCTACACAGTCCGGCCCCATCTAAAGTAAGTAAAAATAATAATAATGTCTAAATTAAACAAGAAACATTATCATGAAAATCATGTATCACTTACAAAATGTGGCCTTTAGTATTTTTAGTGACTAGACATAACTTGAAGTTTGCTTAAATAGAAAAATAATCACATAAATAAAATAAAATTTCTACTTATTTTAAGTTTAGATAACAGAGGATGTATATGTGTAATGCTGTTTAGAGTAATCTGACAAAAATGCAGTTAATATTGATCTATTGCATATACATGATTTTAGAAAGGTAGTGTTTTATTAATACAAAGGTTAAACAATGGCCAGGCATGGTGGCTCATACCTGTAATCCCAGCACTTGGGGAGGCCAAAGCAAGCAGATCACAAGGTCAGGAGATCGTGACCATCCTGGCCAACATGGGGAAACCCCATCTCTACTAAAAATACAAAAATTAGCTGGGCGTGGTGATGTGCACCTGTAGTCCCAGCTACTTGGGATACTAAGGCAGGAGAATTGCTTGAAGCCAGGAGGTGGAGGTTGCAGTGAGCCAAGACTGCACCACTGCACTCCAGCCTGGTGACAGAGTGAGACCCTGTCTCACAAAAAAAAAAAAAAAAAAAAAAAAGATTAAGTAATTAAAGCCATCTTTTGCAATGAATGCATTGCTTTGAAATTCTTAGAAAACTCTGCCCTTTATAAAAGTTTAATCCATTTTTTACTTCAATAAATTTTATCTTAAAAAGAAATTTCTGTTCTCTACTTATAGGAAACTTTTCTTTTTTTTTCTAGTTTGTATTCTAAATTAACGTGGTACCTCTGTAAGTTTCTTCCAAAGGCATATTGAGGGATACCCAGGTTTGCAGTACAATTAAACCCATCACACAGGTTGTGAGCATAGGACCCAAGAAGTAGTTTTTCAACCCTGGCCCACTCTGTCCCTCCCCGTTCTTATTTCCCAGTGTCTATTATTCCCACCTTTATGACAACGTGCACCCAATATGTAGCTCCCACATGAGTGAAAACGTGAGATATTTGGTTTCTGTTTCTGCGTTGGTTTGTTTAGGAGAGTGGATTCCAGCTGTATTCATGTTGCTGCAAATGACGTGATTTTGTTCTTTTCATGGCTGCATAGTATTCCATGGTACATATGGAATTTTCCAATCTACCTTGGATTTTCAATCTACCTTGGATGTACCTGGATTGACTCCACGTCTTTGCTATTGTGACTAGTGCTGCAATGAACATACATGTGTATACATCTTTTTGTTACAATGATTTATTGTCCTTTCGGTATACCCCTAGTATAGTAATGGGGTTGCTGCATCCAACAGTCATTCTTAGTTCTTAATTTCCAAACTGCTCTCCATAGTAGCTGAATTAATTTACATTGCCACAAACGGGTTGTGTTCCCTTTTCTCCACAGCCTCCCCAACATCCTTTTTTAAGTTTTTATTTATTATTTGTTTTTAACAAAAGTCATTGTGACTGGTGTGAAATGGTATCTCATTGATGTTTTGTTTGGCATTTTTCTGATGATTAGCAATAGTAAGCATTTGTTAATGTTTGTTGGCCACTTACGTGTGTTATTTTGAGAACTGTCTGTTCATGTCCTTTGCCCATTTTTAATGGTCTTATTTATTTTTTGCTTGTTGATTTATTTAGGTCTCTTATGAATTCTGGATAATAGGGGTTTGCTATATCCATACTTTGTGAATATTTTCTTCCATTCTTTTAGGCTGTCTGTTTAATCCCGTGATAGTTTCTCATGCTGTGCAGAAGCTATTTAGCTAAATTAGATCACACTTGTCAATTTTTGTTATTCTTGCAATTGCTTTTGAGGACTTAGCCATAAATTAATTGACAAATATGATATCCAGAAGAGTATTTCCTAGGTTTTCTTCCAGGATTTTTATAGTCAGAAGATGTACTCTTATGTAAGGAAAGCACAAACCTTTTTTTTTGTTTTGTTTTGAGACAGAGTCTCCATCACCAAGGCTATAGTGCAGTGGTATGATCTTGGCTTACTGCAACCTCTGTCTCCTGGGTTCAAGTGATTCTCCTGCCTCAGCCCCCTGAGTATCTGAGATTACACATGCCTGCCAACACGCCTTGCTAATTTTTGTATTTTTACTAGAGACAGGTTTCATCATGTTGGCCAGGCTGGTCTCAAACTCCTGACGTCAGGTGATTCACCTGCCTCGGCCTCCCCAAATTTTGGGATTACAACTGTGAGCCACCATGCCTGGCCAAGCACAAAACTTTTAACATAAAAAGGGAAATGAACATTTTAGTGTTTTGTTTAATTCATAAAATGCAATTATTTTGGATTCTACTAAATAATAAACATCCATATGTGGCAAAGTGTTTGGATGCCAATCATTCAGTTGTGATTATGGGTGGGAAGAATTGAGATGGTGCAAATAAACTTTTTTTAATTTTTTTTTTATTTTCAAGATGGAGTCTTGCCCTGTCACCCAGGCTGGAGTGCAGTGGTGCAATCTCAGCTCCTGCAACCTCCGTCTCCCAGTTTCAAGCAATTCTCTGCCTCAGCCTTCCTAGTAGCTGGGATTACAGGTGCCCACCACCACACCAGGCTAATTTTTTTTTGTACTTTTAGTAGAGATGGGGTTTCACCATCTTGGCCAGGCTGGTCTTGAACTCCTGACCTCGTGATACACCTGCCTCAGCCTCCCAAAGTGCTGGGATTACAGGCATGGGCCACCACACCTGGCTGGTGCAAAGAAACTTTAAAAGTGGCATGGGCCGGGTGTGGTGGCTCATGCCTGTAATCCCAGCACTTTGAGAGGCTCAGGCAGACAGATCACAAGGTCAGGAGTTCAAGAAGAGCCTGGCCAATATGGTGAAACCCTGTCTCTACTAAAAATGCAAACATTAGCTGTGTGTAATGGTGGGTGCTTGTAGTCTCAGCTACTCGGGAGGCTGAGGCAGGAGAATCACTTGAACCCGGGAGGTGGAGGTTGCAGTGAGTGGAGATGGCACCAAGACACTCCAGCCTGGGTGACAGAGTGAGACACTGCCTCAAAAAAAAAGAAAAAAAAATGTGGTATGAACCACAGCTAAACTACAATCAATTAGAGAGTAAGCCAAAGCATCTCAAAGTATATCATCAGTTATCAGGCAATAACATGCAATTTCTAAAACCTAACTTAAATGCAGCTTTTAAAGACATTTCAAACGTGTCAGTTTAGTCACATTTATTGAATAAAGTTAGCAAATGGATATCTCTTGAAAATGAGAGCTCCAGGGAATTAAAAAATGTAACGTTCCCATTTCCTTTCTGTGTTAACACAGCTAATTATGATCTTTACTTCACATGCAAAAGTCAACAGAACAACTCAGTATTTCACCAAATTATAAACAAGAATTACGCTAGAGAAATGAAACCCTAAAGAGAAATGGTCATATAACTAACATCAGTCAAGTAGTTCTGGCAGTTATTTGAAGTCTGAGGTTTGAAGTAGGAATTCTTACGGGCATTTGGGGAATATATTTTCTGTTGAGTCCTATACTAGTAAGATTTTCAACACAAGGTGACTCTCGACCTCGCCTTGTAGGAAGAGTGCTGAGAAAATATTTCACCTGCTCTTTCTCCATAAAGAGCTGATACTGATCATTGTTATTTTCTTATTCGATCTGTAAAGATAGCAAAGACAAATGCTTAATATTTCCTTTTTCCTTAAATGATTCTTAATGACTTGCAGTTTTTAAAAACTTACCCTGAGAGTAAACCAAATTACCCACTAAATAGTGTTTTCACACAGAAGATGTGTAAGAGCATACCTGTTGTAAGGAATTATAATTTTAAAATCGTTCTAAAGAAGCACCATTGTTTCTAAGGTGATTTCTACTGAACAAGCAGTTCAAACAAAGTAGACAGGGAAGAGAAATGGCTATCAGTGATGTATGGCTCAACACGTAAAACTTCCTGCCTTCTAAAATGGCTCTACTTGTAAGATTCTGAAGATTCCATTAGAAATACTTGTATTTAAAGGGTAATAATGTGGGAAAATGAATCTGTTGATTTGCTTGATTATAAGAACCACTTCACTAGAAATAATTATATCAAAACATCATGTTGTACTCCTTAATGTAGGTTAAGAAAACTAAAATGAACGAAAAAAAATCTAGGAATACTTGTGTTTAGTAAACCAGTTTTAGATTTCACTCTTGTACATTTCACCCATTGTCTAGGACCAATTAAACATTTGGCACTGAGGAATAATTCAGAGCAACAACTCCTAGGGGAGAACTAGAATGTCTGGTTGGTGATCAAAAAGAACTAAAGCATCTCTGAAGGCAATTAACCCCCAACACTGTGACCAAGGCCCTGGATGTGGGGGCATGTTCTTTCTGCCTTCCACACACTCCTTCAGGCTGAACAAGGTGTTATTTTTTAACCGCTTTGTGAATTACACTTCTTTAAATTCCTGTGATAATTATTCCCTATTTCACAAGGGTGCCTTTCTGTAACATCTTGAATATGTTACACAAATAGTCTTCCTTGAGGCACCCACTGGTGATAATACTAAAGATCACAATCAAAAACAATTGTGCCCAGAGTAGCAGTACCACTTTGCATTTAGGTTGTGATCCACTGAAAAGTAAATTAAACACATTAATATTTCTATTTAGGGAAATTCTGACAAGTAATTTTATAACAAGATCACTTCATTAATTATAAAGCTTCAAAAATACTTAGTGAAAAAAACTAACAGATCAGGTTAATTACATGAGACTTTTCAGGAAGCCATACAGAAGCAAAAAAAAAATGAGAGGAGAGAAAAAACTATCTTTGACTAACATTTTAAAGGTAAAATTATTTACTAACATTATTTTTCAAAATTACATTGTCAAATTAGCATTCACTTCCTTCTAATCTCCTGAAGCCATCTCACTAAAAATTATGCTTTTGAAACAAATTAATGAGCTTAATTCATTTTCTATGAGTGTATGTTTTGATTTAGTTAATTTTTTTGACATGGAACTGTTAGCTTTCAATGCTGCTGCAAAGGCTTCCTTATATTCTTCTAACTCAGTTGTAACCTCTTCATAAGCAGTTTTCATTTTGTAGAATTTACATTCCACATCTTTAAGTGTGAGTTCCTTCTTATTTAGTGAAGCTGTATTATATCCTTGTTTAACTGCTCTAATTGTTTTTTATATTGTGCTTGTTCCTAAAACAGAGGAAAAGAATACACTTTTAAAACAATTATAACCTAATTATTATGTTTGTTGCCTTTCATTTTGAGTCAGTGATTCAAAGAGTATTTTTGAATATGTTAAAAAAGAGGATGAAGTTTAAAATATTTCAGCAATATCAAAACTAATAACTGAATTCAGAATTAAGTCTGATTTGTATTAATGTAATCTGGTCATATAAAAAGTAATAGAATCCATTCATAGTTTTAAAAAGTGATCAATGAACACTGTAGCTTAAGACCAATTCATAATTATCACATAATTTCTAAATCACAATTTTTTCCTATGCCAACTGGTCTTAATCATCAAATGACTCCATAATGAGAATCATTACTCTGAAAGATAGATTTTGTTATACTAATAATGGAAATTTAAATATTTAAAAGAAAAAACAGATACCATTTTTTTCTAGAACTCTACAAAGCAGATTGCTACAAGAGAGGCAGAGGAAACACTATATATATATATATATATAATCTCCAAAATATAATTTGCAGTGAAATAAATGAAAGCACATTACAAGTAAACTTACCTGATTTAAACAACTGACCTGTAAATGGATTTCTTCTAATTTTTCTACTGCCTGCATTGCCCTTTCATCTAGCTCTGATTTATATTCTTGTAGTTTACTAAGTTCTACCATACTGTTTTCCATATGTGTCTTAAGATTTAATATTTCTTCTTCCAACATCTTTTTATCCTCCTCAAGTTTTTCACCTTCCTGTTGTACTTTTTTCATAGCTAATAACTCCTGTTGAAAAACTTGATTCTCTTTAGCCAAATTGACACATTTTGAAGATACAGCTTCCTTCTCCGCCATAAGATCATCAAACTGCATGAATAAAATAGTATAGCTTGATAATGAAGTAGGCTGAGAATAATCTAATACAAAACCAATAGCAAATTTTGAAATGCATTTACTTGCAATAAAATGTTATCTGTAATGCAGCAGATTCTTCAAATGTGAACCCTTAAATTACTCAGAATTTTAAGAACAAAGTTAAAGCTACCATGAGTCATAAAATATATTATTTACTATCATCATCTTTGCCACAGAATTTTTGTACTTCATTTTACTTTTATTTTTCTGATAATTCATTTGTGTTCCTCCTTAAATGGCACAAAGTTATCCCCTAGTAAAAAGTGTCTAACCCCCTTCCTTCATTATCATTCCCCACAGAATGTCAAAAAAAGTTTCAGAGATATCATATTGAGTTATTTAGGCCAAAGTCAATAAATGGGTCTAGGAATAAGACTTTGAAAGTGATATTACACTCTATATTAGGCATGGTGGCTCATGCCTGTAATCCTAGCACTTTAAAAAGCTGTGGCAGAAAGATCACTTGAGGCCAGGAATTTGAGATCAGCCAGAGCAACATAGTGAGACCCCCATCTCTACAAAAAAAAAAAATTTTTTAATTACCTGGGCATGGTGGCTCATGCCTGTAGACCCAGCTAGTTGGGATACTGAGGCAAAAGGATGGCTTGTACCCAGAGTTCAGGGCTGCAGTGAATTATTATCACTGCACTTCTGCCTGGATGACAGACAAAGACCCTATCTCAAAAAAAAAAAACACAAAATAATGAAATCTATGATTAAGGATTCTGATGCTATAAGCCTTTCCTTAAACTGCAAATGTTTCATGCTAATTTGAATTGTATTTTAAGAAGTAATGATTCTTGGGGTCCCGCTGCACAGCTGTGGGGTGAGGATAGACTGGGTGGTGATATCGGCCATGACAGGGGCCTCTTCTGCTGGCAAGAGTGTGACAGTAGCAAGTAGATGGACAGGCCTGCGTGTGAGGACGGAATGCAGGAGCGGCTCTTGTGCGGCTGGGTGTGGGGCCCTCACGGGAACCGTGGAGTGATGGCCAGGTAACTGCGTCATGTGGGCTAGTAGACTGGCCAGGGCTTCGAACTGAAGGACAATAACGGGGAGTAGCTGTCAGGCCCTGGGAGTGTCTGAGTGTAAGTGGAGATGGGTTTGGGGTCACTGAGGGATGCGTGGGAGCCATCCCTGTATAGGTACAGGTCATAGGGAGATAGTCTCGTGTGGCCTGTGAGTGTCTAGGGTTGTCCTGGGTGCCTGGGGCTGACTGTGGCAGAAATCTGGGGAAGGCTGGAGAGAAGCTGGGAGACCCAGGAGAGTCCCTGAAGGCAGGGGGTGAAGAGGTGAAAGAAATGGTGGAGGGTTGCAGTAAGGTCCGTGAGTTTGTAGGTGATTCCTGGGTGCGGGAAGCTGACTCCAGGTGAAATCTGGAGATGGGTGGAGAGTAGCTGAGAGAGACAGAAGAGTCCCTGAGGGCTGGGGGTGAGAACATGAGGGAGACTGGGGAGTAAGTCAGTGAAATTCGTGAGTTCGGTGGTGTATCGTGGGTGCCTGGAACTGACTCCAGCTGGAATCTAGAGAAGTTTTGAGAGTAGCTGAAAGAGACACAAGAGTCCCTGTGGGCTGAGGGCAAAGACCTGAGAGAGACCAGGGAGGACCTCAGTGAAGTCTGTGAGTCCGTAGGTGATTCTGGAGTGTGGGAGGCTGACTCCCGCTGAAATCTGGGCGTGGTGGGGGAGTAGCTGGGACAGACAGGAGAGTCCCAGGGTGCTGGGGGTGAAGACATGAGAGAGACTGGGGAGTAACTCAGTGAAACTGCTGAGTTTGTAGGTGATACCTGGGTGCCTGGAACTGACTCCCGCTGAAATCTGGGCATGGTTGGAGAGTAGCTGGGACACACAGGAGAGTCCCTGAGGGCTGGGGGTGAAGACATGAGATAGACCGGGGAGTAACTGAGTGAAACTGGTGAGTTTGGTGGTGATTCCGGGGTGCCTGGAACTCACTCCAGCTGAAATGTGGGCGAGGTTGGAGAGTAGCTGGGACAGACGGGAGAGTCCCTGAGGGATGGTGAAGACATGAGAGAGACTGGGGAGTAACTGAGTGAAACTGGTGAGTTTGGTGGTGATTTCTGGGTGCCTTCAACGGACTCCCGCTGAAGTGTGGGCGTGCTTGGAGAGTAGCTGGGACAGACAGGCCAGTCCCTGAGGGCTGGTGAAGACATGAGAGAGACTGGAGAGTAATTGAGTGAAATTGGTGAGTTTGGTGGTGATTCCTGGGTGCCTGGAACTGACTCCCGCTGAAGTGTGGGCGTGGTTGGAGAGTAGCTGGGACACACAGGAGAGTCCCTGAGGGTTGGAGATAAAGACGTCCTAGAGACTGAGGAGTAACTGAGTGAAATTGGTGAGTGTGGTGGTGATTCCGGGGTACCTGGAACTGACTCCAGCTGCAATGTGGGCGTGGTTGGAGAGTAGCTGGGACAGATGGGAGAGTCCCTGAGGGATGGTGAAGACATGAGAGAGACTGGGGAGTAACGCAGTGAAATTGGTGAGTTTGGTGGTGATTTCTGGGTGCCTGCAACGGACTCCCGCTGAAGTGTGGGCGTGCTTGGAGAGTAGCTGGGACAGACAGGCGAGTCCCTGAGGGTTGGAGATAAAGACGTGCTAGAGACTGGGGAGTAACTCAGTGAAAGTGGTGGGCTTGGCGGTGATCCCTGGGTTCCTGGAACTGTCCCGCACTGAAATGTGGGCGTGGTTGGAGAGTAGCTGGGACAGACTGGAGGGTCCGTAAGGGCTGGGGGTGAAGACGTGAGAGAGACTGTCCAGGATCTCCCTGAGGTCTGTGAGTTTGTAGGTGTTTCTGGGGTGTGGGGTACAGACTCCCGCTGAAATGTGGGCGTGGTTGGAGAGTAGCTAGGACAGACAGGAGAGTCATGGGTGGCTGGGGGTGAGCTGCTGGATGATGGCAGTAAGAACATATGGTATATTATTGATGAATGAGGTGACTGTGAAGAATCTCCAGAGGAGGACACGGGAGAACCCAATGATAAGAGTGACTGTCCTGCTTGGTTAGGAAAGGGAAACGTAAAGCTGTGGAATTCTGTTGATGATGGATGTGGGAGTGGTGAAGCCATGCGGGATGATGTAGAGTACTTCCACATCCCTGGTGAGGAGCTGCCCCTTGGGTCTGAGTTTCTGGGAGGGGAGAGGGAGAAGCTGGGTGAGGCAGGCATGAATCTTGAGGAGTCAGGGCTGGGGGACCGCTCATATTCTCCCGAGACCTGTGAGTCTCTGGGGGACTCCTGGGCGCATGGGGCTGACTCCCGCAGGAACCTGGGGATGGCTGGAGAGTAACTGGGAGCCACAGGAGAGTCCCTGAGGCCTGGGGGTGAAGAGATGAAAGACACAGGGGTGGAGCACCGTGAGGCTCGTGAGTTTGTAGGTGATTCCTGGGTGTGGGGGGCTGACTCCAGCTGAAATCTGGGGTTGTTTGGAGAGTAGCTGGGAGACACAGGAGACCCCCCGAGAGCTGGGGGTGAGCTGCTGGGTGATGGCAGTAAGAACATGTGGTATATTATTGATGAACCTGGGGACTCTGAGGAATCCTCAGAGGAGGACACAGGAGAGCCCGATGGCTTCATTGATTGCCCATCACGGTGAGGACAGGGAAATGGGAGCTTGTGGGATTCTGGTGATGACAGAGGTGAGTGTGGTGAAGCCCTAGGGGATGGTGAATGGTAGCTCCGGATCCCTGGTGAGGAGCTTCCCCTTAAGCCTGAGTTTCTGAGAGGGGAGAGGGAGAAGCTGGGTGAGGCTCGCATGGACCAGAAAGATTATTCTCAACATATGTGTGTCTTCTAATTCAATGGTGACGCTATCTATCGGGACATAGCATTAGATTCCAAAGGGCCGAGTCCCGCCAGAAAGGCCTCCCACACTAATAACAACGGGGAGCCCTACGTTGTTTTACCTGGGCTTCTCAGCAACTGGCTATAAATCAGGTTTCCACCACTCCCAGATTTAGTTGCATTCATTTGCTGGAAGAGCTCACAGCACTCAGGGAAACACTTACATTTGCCGTTGTATTTTAGCGGACATTGCAAAAAGTTCAGAAATGAATGTGGGGCCCGGCATGTGGAGAGGGGCGTACTACCTTCCAGGATGTGTTATCCAGAAGCTCTCTGAACCCAGTCCTTTTGGGTTTTTATGGAGACCTCATTCTATAGGCATGATGGGTTAAACCATAGGCTATTGGTGATCAGCTCCACCTGAGGCTCTCAACCCTCCCTGGTAATTGGGGTTGAGGCTTTGCCATTCTCAGTCTGACTAAAATAATTTACCCAAACGGAATTTTAAAACAGATGAGCACAACTGGAATCTTAATTAGATGATTGGATTATCTGGAGCCACAACTTGATATTCCGAACCCGAGCACCCTCATCCAACGAATGCTCCACCCAACTGGCTGCCAAGTCTCCACGTGTTTCCAGAGGAAAAGAATGCTTATACAACGCATATCTCCACCTTTTCTTCAAAGTCTTTTCGCTTACACGGAAAGACTTCTTAAACTGCCATGCATCAGGGTCAGGGGGAGGTCTTGTTACAACACAGATCTGTGGATCTCCGGGGTTTGATGGTGGCAAGGATGCTGCTGGTGTCAAAACCACAACGTGGGAACCACAGAACCACTAGTTGGTTCTCAGTGTTTCAGTGCATACAATTCCTAATATATCTGGCCAAGAAAACTTGGAAGTTCTTAGATTGTCCCAAAGTTGGCGCATGAAATCAAAGTAGGAGAACAGTTTCCTACGAGGTGTAGCCTGGGAAAGTTGGGGGTGACTGACGGAAAGGAGGAGTGAAGCTCCGCACTTTCCGTTGCTAGGCTGCGCCCGAGGCTATTTAAACCCACCCTGGCTGGCCTGTACTCAGATCTTCGCGGAGCGGATCAGCGGCCGGAGCCTTTGGCGGACTCTGCGTGGACTTGGAGCTCACGGCGTCTTGCGACTTGGAAGCGGATTCAGAGGACAGGACAGAACACTTGGGCAAGTGAATCTCTGTCTGTCTCTCTGTCTGTCTGTCTGTCTGTGTGTCTGTCTCATTGGTTGGTTGATTTCCATTTTCTTAAGGGGCACATACCTCACACCGCACACACACAGACACACACACACGCACACACACGCACACACTCACACACACGCACACACACTCCTTCCTTCTGCGAGTTAGAGAATTAGTAGGGGCCCCTGGGAGCTGCAGGTTTCCTAATCATGTCTGCACCTAAGAACAGTAGGGTGTTGTCTGGCTCTTCTTATGAACGGTCCCCCAGCCTGGACTCCCCAAGTTCCATGCGAGCCTCACCCAGCTTCTCCCTCTCCCCTCTCAGAAACTCAGGCTTAAGGGGAAGCTCCTCACCAGGGATCCGGAGCTACCATTCACCATCCCCTAGGGCTTCACCACACTCACCTCTGTCATCACCAGAATCCCACAAGCTCCCATTTCCCTGTCCTCACCGTGATGGGCAATCAATGAAGCCATCGGGCTCTCCTGTGTCCTCCTCTGAGGATTCCTCAGAGTCCCCAGGTTCATCAATAATATACCACATGTTCTTACTGCCATCACCCAGCAGCTCACCCCCAGCTCTCGGGGGGTCTCCTGTGTCTCCCAGCTACTCTCCAAACAACCCCAGATTTCAGCTGGAGTCAGCCCCCCACACCCAGGAATCACCTACAAACTCACGAGCCTCACGGTGCTCCACCCCTGTGTCTTTCATCTCTTCACCCCCAGGCCTCAGGGACTCTCCTGTGGCTCCCAGTTACTCTCCAGCCATCCCCAGGTTCCTGCGGGAGTCAGCCCCATGCACCCAGGAGTCCCCCAGAGACTCACAGGTCTCGGGAGAATATGAGCGGTCCCCCAGCCCTGACTCCTCAAGATTCATGCCTGCCTCACCCAGCTTCTCCCTCTCCCCTCCCAGAAACTCAGACCCAAGGGGCAGCTCCTCACCAGGGATGTGGAAGTACTCTACATCATCCCGCATGGCTTCACCACTCTCACATCCATCATCAACAGAATTCCACAGCTTTACGTTTCCCTTTCCTAACCAAGCAGGACAGTCACTCATGTCATTGTGTTCTCCCGTGTCCTCCTTTGGAGATTCTTCACAGTCACCTCATTCATCAATAATATACCATATGTTCTTACTGCCATCATCCAGCAGCTCACCCCCAGCCACCCATGACTCTCCTGTCTGTCCCAGCTACTCTCCAACCACGCCCACATTTCAGCGGGAGTCTGTACCCCACACCCCAGAAACACCTACAAACTCACAGACCTCAGGGAGATCCTGGCCAGTCTCTCTCACGTCTTCACCCCCAGCCCTTACGGACCCTCCAGTCTGTCCCAGCTACTCTCCAACCACGCCCACATTTCAGCGCGGGACAGTTCCAGGAACCCAGGCATCACCGCCAAGCCCACCACTTTCACTGAGTTACTCCCCAGTCTCTAGCACGTCTTTATCTCCAACTCTCAGGGACTCGCCTGTCTGTCCCAGCTACTCTCCAAACACGCCCACACTTCAGCGGGAGTCCGTTGCAGGCACCCAGAAATCACCACCAAACTCACCAATTTCACTGCGTTACTCCCCAGTCTCTCTCATGTCTTCACCATCCCTCAGGGACTCTCCCGTCTGTCCCAGCTACTCTCCAACCATGCCGACATTGCAGCTGGAGTCAGTTCCAGGCACCCAGGAATCACCACCAAACTCACCAATTTCACTCAGTTACTCCTCAGTCTCTAGCACGTCTTTATCTCCAACCCTCAGGGACTCTCCTGTGTGTCCCAGCTACTCTCCAACCACGCCCACACTTCAGCGGGAGTCAGTTCCAGGCACCCAGGAATCACCACCAAACTCACCAATTTCACTCAATTACTCTCCAGTCTCTCTCATGTCTTCACCAGCCCTCAGGGACTCTCCTGTCTGTCCCAGCTACTCTCCAACCATGCCCACATTTCAGCTGGAGTCAGTTCCAGGCACCCCGGAGTCACCACCAAACTCACCAGTTTCACTCAGTTACTCCCCAGTCTCTCTCATGTCTTCACCCCCAGCCCTCAGGGACTCTCCTGTGTGTCCCAGCTACTCTCCAACCATGCCCAGATTTCAGCGGGAGTCAGTTCCAGGCACCCAGGTATCACCTACAAACTCAGCAGTTTCACTGAGTTACTTCCCAGTCTCTCTCATGTCTTCACCCCCAGCCCCCTGGGACTCTCCTGTCTGTCCCAGCTACTCCCCCACCACGCCCAGATTTCAGCGGGAGTCAGCCTCCCACACTCCAGAATCACCTACGGACTCACAGACTTCACTGAGGTCCTCCCTGGTCTCTCTCAGGTCTTTGCCCTCAGCCCACAGGGACTCTTGTGTCTCTTTCAGCTACTCTCAAAACTTCTCTAGATTCCAGCTGGAGTCAGTTCCAGGCACCCACGATACACCACCGAACTCACGAATTTCACTGACTGACTCCCCAGTCTCCCTCATGTTCTCACCCCCAGCCCTCAGGGACTCTTCTGTCTCTCTCAGCTACTCTCCAACCATCTCCAGATTTCACGTGGAGTCAGCTTCCCGCACCCAGGAATCACCTACAAACTCACGGACCTTACTGCCACCCTCCACCATTTCCTTCACCTCTTCACCCCCTGCCTTCAGGGACTCTCCTGGGTCTCCCAGCTTCTCTCCAGCCTTCCCCAGATTTCTGCCACAGTCAGCCCCAGGCACCCAGGACAACCCTAGACACTCACAGGCCACACGAGACTATCTCCCTATGACCTGTACCTATACAGGGATGGCTCCCACGCATCCCTCAGTGACCCCAAACCCATCTCCACTTACACTCAGACACTCCCAGGGCCTGACAGCTACTCCCCGTTATTGTCCTTCAGTTCGAAGCCCTGGCCAGTCTACTAGCCCACATGACGCAGTTACCTGGCCATCACTCCACGGTTCCCGTGAGGGCCCCACACCCAGCCGCACAAGAGCCCCTCCTGCATTCCGTCCTCACACGCAGGCCTGTCCATCTACTTGCTACTGTCACACTCTTGCCAGCAGAAAAGGCCCCTATCATGGCCGATATCACCACCCAGTCTATCCTCACCCCGCAGCTGTGCAGCGGGACCCTCCTGCTGGCCCACGTGGCTGTCAGAGCCCATGCTGGCACGACGCTCCAGCAGGTCGGCGTCCCTGCGGGACACACTACCGGTGACATGGCTAGCATCACCCTCCTTCCTGGCA
Organism: Homo sapiens; assembly: GCF_000001405.40. Classification (NCBI taxonomy): domain Eukaryota; kingdom Metazoa; phylum Chordata; class Mammalia; order Primates; family Hominidae; genus Homo; species Homo sapiens. The sequence continues at coordinate 157,981 of NT_187498.1, forward strand.
GTGACACTGTTGATGTGAACCCCAGTTTCACATCTGTCATTTGTAAATAGGACCATTTTCCCTTTTCGCTCTCCCTTCCATTCACAGGGCTTTTCATTCTCTCTGTGTCTGCCTCCGTTTCAGATATTTACTCACCTTTTTCTCTCTCACTATGTCTGCCGTGGTCTCCATGAGAGTGCGCCACATAAGATTCCCCCATTAAAAGTCATGAATTGAGTGGCTTTTAGTATACCTGTGGTTGTGCACATTCAATTTTAATTCACAATCCATTGTAGAACGTCTTATCACCCCCGACCAGAGAAAAACCCTGTAGACATTAGTCACTCCTCATTCTGTCTCAAACCCTCTCCCTGACCCTCAGCCCTAGGTAGCAACTACCTAGTGCGATCAACCCCATATGCATAGATTTCCATATTGTGGACATTTCCTATAAACGGAATTGCACAATAGGTGAGCTGTTATGACTGACATAACACGTAGCACAATATTTTCAAGATTGATCCACATTGTAGGCTTACCCACAGGGGGAAACCATATTTTTGGGGGGTTTTAGTAACACCGGGTGTTTTCTCCTTCCGTTCGTCCTTCTTTCCTTCCTTCCTTCCTTCCTTCTTTCCTTCCTTCCTTCCTTCCTACCTTCCTTCTTTCCTTCCTTCCTTCCTTCCTCCTATTTCTCTCTTACTCCTTCTGCCCTCTCTCTTTCATATGCCTTAGGTGCATCCCACATTCTGCGTTTTTTGGGGGAAATCCTCGACAGGTGCAGGAAAATTGTGTTATTGTAACTATTTACCGCTATCTCTCTTTCACGGCTCTCCATCAGTTGTGAACATCTATTGGTTTATCGCAAGTCACTAAGCATATTTTTATTAGGTACACCTGTTTTTCCTTATACAGCTGTTTCTGGGGTATAGGGTCGCATACTCATAAACCGGTGTAACTCAGAAACGCATCTAATATTCCAATAAACCCATCATAACGTTGAAAAATCATGAATCAAACCATCATAAGTCACGGTTTGTCCGTGGATATGGGTGTCATCAATTCCATTGTATACAGTAATGCTGTACACCATTAACAATGGCAGACTGATTGGGAGCGGACATTGATAGCATTATAAAAGTCAATTATTAGAGGGATACTTCTTTAACCTGACTGAAGCACTGATCTAATGGCTTTAGTACACTGCATGATTATGTGAGATGTTTTGAGAAAAATTAGTACATTTGTGAATGAAATTTTATGGCTTTTTTTCACTTAGTAGGAACCATTGTGTGTGGAAAAGTGAGAAAATTGCTTTCTGCTGTAGAGTCTGGCATTCATTGTAGATTTAAGTTTATTTTTCTGTGAGCAAATCTTATTCAATAAAATGCTACTCTTTATACTACAAAACAAAAACAGTGGTGATGTGTGGTCATTATCCTCAGCAAACTAATCCAGGGAAAGAAACCCAAACGCCACATTCTCACTTATAATGGGAGCTGAAGAATGAGATCACATGGACACAGGAAGGGGAACAACACACACTGGGGCCTTTCGGGAGGTGGAGCGTTAAGGAAAACAGCTACTGCATGCTGGGCATAATACCTAGGTGATGGGTTGACAGGTGCAGCAAACCACCATGGCAAACGTTTACCTTAGTAACAAATCTGCCCATCCTGCACATATACCCCAGAACTTAGAAACGAAACGAAACAAAAGAAAACGAAAAAGCAATAGCAAAACGCTAAAGGGAAAATAAAGTTTCAAACTCAGAAAGTGACAGACCAATGTTTGGTTCAAATCATGGTTCTCAACCCAGGTGCCATAAGGTCAGGATAAAGAATTTGATTACATATTGTAAATAAGACATGCAGCAAATGACCAGAAAGATTATTCTCAACATATGTGTGTCTTCTAATTCAATGGCGACGCTATCTACCGGGACATAGCATTAGATTCCAAAGGGCCGAGTCCCGCCAGGCAGGCCTCCCACACTAATAACAACGGGAAGGCCTACGTTGTTTTACCTGTGCTTCTCAGCAACTGGCTATAAATCAGGTTGCCACCACTCCCAGATTTAGTTGCATTCATTTGCTGGAAGAGCTCACAGCACTCAGGGAAACACTTACATTTGCCGTTGTATTTTAGCGGACATTGCAAAAAGTTCAGAAATAAATGTGGGGCCCGGCATGTGGGGAGGGGCGCAGTACCTTCCAGGAAGTGTTATCCAGAAGCTCTCTGAACCCATTCCTTTTGGGTTTTTATGGAGACCTCATTCTATAGGCATGATGGGTTAAACCATAGGCTATTGGTGATCAACTCCACCTGAGGCTCTCAACCCTCCCTGGAAATTGGGGTTGAGGTTTTGCCATTCTCAGTCTGACTAAAAGAATTTACCCAAACGGAATTTTAAAACAGATGAGCACAACTGGAATCTTAATTAGATGATTGGATTATCTGGAGCCACACCTTGATATTCCGAACCCGAGCACCCTCATCCAACGAATGCTCCACCCAACTGGCTGCCAAGTCTCCACGTGGTTCCAGAGCAAAAGAATGTTTATACAACGCATATCTCCACCTTTTCTTCAAAGTCTTTTTGCTTACACGGAAAGACTTCTTAAACTGCCATGCATCAGGGTCAGGGGGAGGTCTTGTTACAACACAGATCTGTGGATCTCCGGGGTTTGATTGTGGCAAGGATGCTGCTGGCGTCAAAACCACAACGTGGGAACCACAGAACCACTAGTTGGTTTTCAGTGTTTCAGTGCATACAATTCCTAATATATCTGGCCAAGAAAACTTGGAAGTTCTTAGATTGTCCCAAAGTTGGCGCATGAAATCAAAGTAGGAGAACAGTTTCCTACGAGGTGTAGCCTGGGAAAGTTGGGGGTGACTGACGGAAAGGAGGAGTGAAGCTCCGCCCTTTCCGCTGCTAGGTTGCGCCCGAGGCTATTTAAACCCACCCTGGCTGGCCTGCACTCAGATCTTGGCGGAGCGGGTCAGCGGCCGGAGCCTTTGGCGGACTCTGCGTGGACTTGGAGCTCACGGCGTCTTGCGACTTGGAGGCGGATTCAGAGGACAGGACAGAACACTTGGGCAAGTGAATCTCTGTCTGTCTGTCTGTCTGTCTGTCTGTCTGTGTGTCTGTCTCATTGGTTGGTTGATTTCCATTTTCTTAAGGGGCACATACCTCACACCGCACACACACAGACACACACACACACACACACGCACACACTCACACACACGCACACACACTCCTTCCTTCTGCGAGTTGGAAAATTAGTAGGGGCCCCTGGGAGCTGCAGGTTTCCTAATCATGTCTGAACCTAAGAACAGTAGGGTCTTGTCTGGCTCTTCTTATGAACGGTCCCCCAGCCCGGACTCCCCAAGGTCCATGCGAGCCTCACCCAGCTTCTCCCTCTCCCCTCTCAGAAACTCAGTCTTAAGGGGAAGCTCCTCACCAGAGATCCGGAGCTACCATTCACCATCCCCTAGGGCTTCACCACACTCACCTCTGTCATCACCAGAATCCCACAAGCTCCCATTTCCCTGTCCTCACCGTGATGGGCAATCAATGAAGCCATCGGGCTCTCCTGTGTCCTCCTCTGAGGTTTCCTCAGAGTCCCCACGTTCATCAATAGTATACCACATGTTCTTACTGCCATCACCCAGCAGCTCACCCCCAGCTCTCGGGGGGTCTCCTGTGTCTCCCAGCTACTCTCCAAACAACCCCAGATTTCAGCTGGAGTCAGCCCCCCACACCCAGGAATCACCTACAAACTCACGAGCCTCACGGTGCTCCACCCCTGTGTCTTTCATCTCTTCACCCCCAGGCCTCAGGGACTCTCCTGTGGCTCCCAGTTACTCTCCAGCCATCCCCAGGTTCCTGCGGGAGTCAGCCCCATGCACCCAGGAGTCCCCCAGAGACTCACAGGTCTCGGGAGAATATGAGCGGTCCCCCAGCCCTGACTCCTCAAGATTCATGCCTGCCTCACCCAGCTTCTCCCTCTCCCCTCCCAGAAACTCAGACCCAAGGGGCAGCTCCTCACCAGGGATGTGGAAGTACTCTACATCATCCCGCATGGCTTCACCACTCTCACATCCATCATCAACAGAATTCCACAGCTTTATGTCTCCCTTTCCTAACCAAGCAGGACAGTCACTCATGTCATTGTCTTCTCCCTTGCCCTCCTCTGGAGATTCATCACAGTCACGTCATTCATCAATAATATACCATATGTTCTTACTGCCATCATCCAGCAGCTCACCCCCAGCCACCCATGACTCTCCTGTCTGTCCCAGCTCCTCTCCAACCACGCCCAGGTTTCAGCGGGAGTCTGTACCCCACCTCCCAGAAACACCTACAAACTCACAGACCTCAGGGAGATCCTGGCCAGTCTCTCTCACGTCTTCACCCCCAGCCCTTACGGACCCTCCAGTCTGTCCCAGCTACTCTCCAAACACGCCCACACTTCAGCTGGAGTCCGTTGCAGGCACCCAGAAATCACCACCAAACTCACCAATTTCACTGCGTTACTCCCCAGTCTCCCTCATGTCTTCACCATCCCTCAGGGACTCTCCCGTCTGTCCCAGCTACTCTCCAACCACGCCCACATTACAGCTGGGGTTGGTTCCAGGCACCCCGGAATCACCACCAAACTCACCAATTTCACTCAGTTACTCCTCAGTCTCTAGCAGGTCTTTATCTCCAACCCTCAGGGACTCTCCTGTGTGTCCCAGCTACTCTCCAACCACGCCCACACTTCAGCGGGAGTCAGTTCCAGGCACCCAGGAATCACCACCAAACTCACCAATTTCACTCAATTACTCTCCAGTCTCTGTCATGTCTTCACCAGCCCTCGGGGACTCTCCTGTCTGTCCCAGCTACTCTCCAGCCATGCCCACATTTCAGCTGGAGTCAGTTCCAGGCACCCCGGAGTCACCACCAAACTCATCAGTTTCACGCAGTTACTCCCCGGTCTCTCTCATGTCTTCACCCCCAGCCCTCAGGGACTCTCCTGTGGGTCCCAGCTATTCTCCAACCATGCCCAGATTTCAGCGGGAGTCAGTTCCAGGCACCCAGGTATCACCTACAAACTCAGCAGTTTCACTGAGTTACTTCCCAGTCTCTCTCATGTCTTCACCCCCAGCCCCCTGGGACTCTCCTGTCTGTCCCAGCTACTCTCCCACCACGCCCAGATTTCAGCGGGAGTCAGCCTCCCACACTCCAGAATCACCTACGGACTCACAGACTTCACTGAGGTCCTCCCTGGTCTCTCTCAGGTCTTTGCCCTCAGCCCACAGGGACTCTCGTGTCTCTTTCAGCTACTCTCAAAACTTCTCTAGATTCCAGCTGGAGTCAGTTCCAGGCACCCACGATACACCACCGAACTCACGAATTTCACTGACTTACTCCCCAGTCTCCCTCATGTTCTCATCCCCAGCCCTCAGGGACTCTTCTGTCTCTCTCAGCTACTCTCCAACCATCTCCAGATTTCACGTGGAGTCAGCTTCCCGCACCCAGGAATCACATACAAACTCACGGACCTTACTGCAACCCTCCACCATTTCTTTCACCTCTTCACCCCCTGCCTTCAGGGACTCTCCTGGGTCTCCCAACTTCTCTCCAGCCTTCCCCAGATTTCTGCCACAGTCAGCCCCAGGCACCCAGGACAACCCTAGACACTCACAGGCCCCACGAGACTATCTCCCTATGACCTGTACCTATACAGGGATGGCTCCCACGCATCCCTCAGTGACCCCAAACCCATCTCCACTTACACTCAGACACTCCCAGGGCCTGACAGCTACTCCCCGTTATTGTCCTTCAGTTCGAATCCCTGGCCAATCTACTAGCCCACATGACGCAGTTACCTGGCCATTACTCCATGGTTCCCGTGAGGGCCCCACACGCAGCCGCACAAGAGCCCCTCCTGCATTCCGTCCTCACACGCAGGCCTGTCCATCTACTTGCTACTGTCACACTCTTGCCAGCAAAAGAGGCCCCTGTCATGGCCGATATCACCACCCAGTCTATCCTCACCCCGCAGCTGTGCAGCGGGACTCTCCTGCTGGCCCACGTGGCTGCCAGAGCCCATGCTGGCACGACGCTCGAGCAGGTCGGCATCCCTGCGGGACACACTACCGGTGACATGGCTAGCATCACCCTCCTTCCTGGCAGTGACACTGTTGATGTGAACCCCAGTTTCACATCTGTCATTTGTAAATAGGACCATTTTCCCTTTTCGCTCTCCCTTCCATTCACAGGGCTTTTCATTCTCTCTGTTTCTGCCTCCGTTTCAGATATTTACTCACCTTTTTCTCTCTCACTATGTCTGCCGTGGTCTCCATGAGAGTGCGCCACATAAGATTCCCCCATTAAAAGTCATGAATTGAGTGGCTTTTAGTATACCTGTGGTTGTGCACATTCAATTTTAATTCGCAATCCACTGTAGAACGTCTTATCACCCCCGACCAGAGAAAAACCCTGTAGACATTAGTCACTCTTCATTCTTTTTCAAACCCTCAGGGCCTGATGGGAAGGCACTTTCGTTTGTGGGGGACCCATGCCCTGCTTCTCCTTTGCGCGTTTTTTTTTTTTTTTGCTACGATAGATGCCTTTCCTCTCCTTCCTCAAATCTTACCTTCCTCTCATGTGGCTTCTGTCTGCCTTGGGGTACACCTAGCGGCCCGAGGTGCACTGTGGGATCGAACCAGGGACTCCAGGGTCCCTGAGGCCCAGCACAAGTCCTGATGGGAAGACACTTTCGTCCGTTTGGAGGACCCAGTCCCCGCTTCTCCGCGGCTGTGTTTTTTTTTTCTCTGCCCCAGGTGCCTCACCTTCCCCTCTTGTGCCTTCTGCAAGCTTTGGGTTACTCCTAGCGGCCCAAGGCACACCCTGGGCTCGAACCATGGAAGCCAGGTTCCACAGGGTCAAGCGCAGTGGCTGATGATAAGACACGTTCTTCCTCAGGGACCCAGGCTCTGCTTCTCTGTGGCGTTTTTTTTTCTTTTCTTTTCCACATGTGCCTCACTTTCCCGTCATGGGCTTTCTGCCCGCCTTGAGGTACCCCTAGCCGGCCCGAGGCGCACCCTTGTTTTGAGCCAGGGATGCTAGGGTCTCCGGGGCCCAGTGTAGGGCTTATGGGTAGGGACGTTCGTCCATGGGGAACCCAGGCCCCACTTCTGGTGGGCGCAGTTTTTTATTTTGTTCTCTGCCCCAGGTGTCTCACCTTTCCCTCATGGGCCTTCTGTCTGTCTTGGGGTACCCCTAGCGGCCTGAATCGCACCCTGGTCTCGTACCAGGAATGCCAGGGTCCCCTGTGCCCAGCGCAAGGGCTGATGGGAAGACACTTTCGTCCGTTGGGGATCCAGGCTCCGCTTCTCCGTGGTGCAGTTTTTTTTTTTCTGCCACAGGTGCCTCACCTCTCCTTCCTCAAACCTCAACTGCCCCTCATGGGATTTCTGCCCCCCTTGTGGTACCCCTAGCAGGCCCGGGGCGCACCCGGGGCTCGAACTGGGGTCTCCAGCGTCCACAGGGCCCAGCGCAGGGACTGATGGGAAGGCATTTTCATCCTTGGGGTACCCAGGCCCAGTTTCTCCTAGGCGCGGCTTGTTTTCTTTTTTTTTTTTCTGCCACAGGTTCCTCACCTCTCCTCCCTCAAACGTCAACTTCCCATCATGGGCTTTCTGCTCTACTTGGGGTACCCCTTCCGGCCCAAGGCTCTCCCTGGACTCGAACCATGGATGCCAGGGTCGCCGGGGCCTAGCGCAGGGGCTGATGGGAATGTACCTTCATCCGTGGGTACCCAGGCCCCGCTTCTCAAAGCTGCGGTTTTTTTTCTCCGCCCCTGGTGCCTCACCTTCCCCTCACTGGCCTTCTGCCTGCTTTGGGGTACCACGAGCAGGCCCGAGGCGCTCCCGGGTCTCCAATCAGGGTCGCCAGGTTCTCGGGGCTAGCGCAGGGGCTGATGGGAAGGCACTTTCATCAGTGGGGACCCAGTCCCGGCTTCTCCGAGGTGCTGATATATATATATATATATTTTTTTTTTTTTTTTTTCTGCCACAGGTGACTCACCTCTCCTCCCTTAAATCTCGCCTTCCCCTCATGGGCTTTCTGGCTTCCTTAGGGTACCCTAGCATGCCAGAGTCTCTTCTGGTCCTTGAACTAGGGTCGCCAGAGTCCAGGGGGCCCAGCGCAGGGGCTGATGAGAAGGCACTTTCGTCCGTGGGAGACCCAGGCCCCGCTTCTCTTCCGCACGGTTTTTTTTTTTCTGCCGCAGGTGCCTCACCTCTCTTCCGTCAAACGTCACCTTCCCCTCATGGGCCTTCAGCCCGTTTTGGGGTACACCTAGCGGGCCCGAGGTGCACCCAGGCCTAGAACCAGGGTCGCCTGGTCCACGTGGCCCAGCTCAGGGACTGATGGGAAGGCACATTTTTTCCATGGGAGACCCAGGCCCCACTTTTCCGTGGCGCGGTTTCTTTTTCTTTTCTGCCACAAGTGCCTCACCTCTCCTCCCTCACAGCTCACCTTCCTCTCATGGGCTTTCCACCGTGTTGGGGTATCCCTAGTGGCCCGAGACTCTCCCTGAGCTCCAACCAGGGACTCTAGGTTCCCCGTGGCCCAGCGCAGGGGCTGATGGGAAGGCACTTTCATCCGTGGGGTACCCAGGCCCCACCTCTCCGCGGTGCGGGTTTCTTTTTTTTCTTTTTCTGTGACAGGTGCCTCACCTGTCCTCCCTCAAAACTCACCTTCCCCTCACGGGTTTTGTGTCCCCAAAGCCCCCTTGGTGTGCACTTAGCGGCCGAGGCACACCCTGAGCTCGAACGAGGGACAACAGGGTCCCTGGGTCCCAGTGCAGGGACTGATGGGAAGACACTTTCGTCTGTGGGGCACCCAGGCCGTGTTTCTCCGTGGTGAAGTTTTTTTTTTCTCTGCCCTAGGTGCCTCACCTTCCCCTTAGGGGCTTTCTGCCCACCTTGGGGTACCCTTACTGTCCCGAGGCGTACCCCAGGGTCACACCAGGGATGCCAGGGTCCCCAGGGCCCAGCGAAGGGGCTGATGGGATGGCACTTTCATCCGTGGGGGACCCAGGCACTGCTTCTCGGCTGAGCATTTTTTTTTTCTCTGCCTCAGGTGCCTCACCTTCCCCTCATGGACCTTTTCTTTGCTTTGTGGTACCCCAAGCTGTCCCGAGGCGCACCCTGGGCTCGAACCAGGGTCGCCAGGGTCCACCAGGCCCAGCATAGGGCCTGATGGGAAGGCACTTTCATCCGTGGGGGACCCAGGCCCCGCTTCTCTGAGACGCGGTCCTCTTTTTTTATTTTTTCTGCCCCTGCTGCCTCACCTCTCCTCCCACAAACTTCAACTTCCACTCATGGGCCTTCTGTCCAAGTTGTGGTACCCCTAGTCGCCTGAGGCACACCCCGGGCGTGAACCAGGGATCCCAGGGTCCCTGGGGCCCAGCGCAAGGTCTGATGGGAAAAAACTTTCGTCCCTGGATGACCCAGACACTGCTTCGCGGCGCATTTTTTTTTTCTTCTTTGCCCCAGGTGTCTCACCTTCCCCTCATGGGCCTTCTGCCTCTCTGCGCCTGCGCCGGCGCTGTGGGCCTCTCTGCGCCTGCCCCGGCGCTGTGGGCCTCTCTGCGCCTTTTGCCGGCGCTGAGCGCCTTTGCGAGGGCGGAGCTGCGTTCTTCCCAGCACAGCCAAGGAGAGCATCGCCAGGGCAGAGCTGAGTTCTCCTCTGCACAGACTTCAGAGATACAGCGAAGGCGGAGCAGTGTTCTCCTCAGCACAGACCCAGGCGGGCCGGGGGCACCGCGAGGGCGGAGCTGCGTTCTGCTCAGCACAGACCCGGGGGACACCGCTAAGGCAGAGCAGCGTTCTCCTCAGCACAGACCTTTGGGGCACTGCCTCGCTTTGGGACAACTTGGGACCGCATAGACGGTGAATAAAATCCTTCCCTTTTGCAGCCCTGAATAATCAGGGCCAGAGACCAGTTAGAAGGGCTCAGTGTGGAAAAGGGAAACCAAAAGCCCCTCTGAATCCTGCCAACCGAGGTTCTCCCCAGCCAAGCCGAGGCGGCCACAGTGCGAGATCCACACCGCAGCCTCGGAAGACAAATGCAGCATTCCTAATGCAGACATGACACCCAAATTATGACACTCCCATTGCTCATGTAACAAGCACCTGTAATGCTAATGCACTGCCTCAATACAAAAATATTGATATAAGATCCGCAATCCCCTTGCTGCCATGCAGTCCTAAGACAGAGATCATAATAATCAACATTGACATAGTACAAACGTAGTAACGAACCTAGGGTTAAGGTTGGTGTTAGGGTTAGGGGTTAAGTTTAGGGTTAGGGGTTGGAGATAGGGGTTGGGGTCAGAGTTAAGAGTTAAGAGTCAATGTTTAGAGTTAGAGGTTAAGAGAGGTTAGGGGTTAGGGATAAGGGGTTAGGGTTGGATTAGTGTGAGGGTGAGGGTTGTGGTTAGGGGTTAGGCTTAGGGGTTACGGTTAAGGGTTAGGGTTAGGGTCAGGGGTTAGGGGTCAGGGTCAGGGGTTAGAGATCAGGGTCAGGGGTCAGGGTCAGGTTCAGGGGTCCCACTCTTTGAGTTGTCCATTTACTCTGCTGACTGTTCCTTTTGCCATGCAAAAGCTGTTTAGTTTAATTAAGTCCCAGCTATTTATCTTTGTTTTTATTTCATTTGAATTTGGGTTCTTGGTCATGAAATCCTTGCGTACGTCAATGTCTAGAAGGGTTTATCCAGTGTTATCTTCTAGAATTTTTATAGTTCAGGAATTAGATTTAAGTTCTTAATCCATCTTGAGTAGATTTTTGTATAAGATGAGAGATGAGAATCCAGTTTTATTCCCCTACATGTGGCTCGCCAATTATCCCAACATCATGTGTTGAAAAGGGGGTCCTTTCCCCACTTTATGTTTTTGTTTACTTTGTCGAAGATCAGTTGGCTGTAAGTATTTGGGTTAATTTCTGGGTTCTCTCTTCTGTTCCATTGGTCTATGTTCCTATTTTTAAACCAGTACGTTGGTGTTTTGGTAACTATGGCCTTATTGTACAGTTTGAAATCAAGTAGTGTGATACCTCCAGGTTCTTTTTGCTTAGGCTTAGTTTGGTTACATGGCTCTCTTTTGGTTCCATATTAATTTTAGAATTGTTTTTGTAATTCTGTGAAGAATGATGGTGGCATTCAGATGGGGATTGCATTGAATTTGTAGATTGCCTTTAACAGAATGGTAATTTTCACAATATTGGTTCTACCCATCCATGAGCATGGGGATGCATTTCCATTTGTTTGTGTCATCTATGACTTCTTTTCTTTCTTGTTTTTTTTTTTTTTTTTTTTTTTTTTTTTTTTTTCAGAGGGAGTTTCGCTCTTGTCGCTGAGGTGGGAGTGCAATGGTGTGATCTCGGCTCACTACAACTTCTGCCTCCCGGGTTCAAGCGATTCTCCTGCCTCAGCTTCCCGAGTAGCTCAGATTATAGGCATGTGCCACCGTGCTTGGCTCCATCTATGATTTCTTTCAGTAGCGTTTTGTAATTTTCATTGTAGCGGTCCTTTGATTCGTTTGCTAGGTATATTCCTAAGTTTTGTTTTTTTGTTGTTGTTGTTTGTCGCAGCTATTGTAAAAGGGGTTGAGTTCTTGATGTGATTCTCTGCTTGGTAGCTGTTGATGTATGGAAGAGCTACTGATTTGTGTCCATTAATCTTGTATCTGGAAACTTTGCTGAATTCTTTTATCAGTTCTAGGAGGTTTCTAGAGGAGTCCGTAGGGTTTTCTAGGCAAAAGATTATATCATCAGCAACAAGTGACAGTTTGACTTCCTCTTTACCGATTTGGATTTCCTCTATTTCCTTCTTTTGTCTGATTGCTCTGGCTAGGATTTCCAGTACTATGTTGAAGAGGAGTGGTGAGAGTAGGCTCCTCGTCTTGTTCCAGTTCTCAAAGGGAATGCTTTCACCGTTTCCCCATTCAGTAGTATGTTGGCTGTGGGTTTGTCATAGATGGCTTTTATTACATTAAGGTATGTCCCTTGTATGCCTATTTTGCTGAGAGCTTTAATCATAAAGCAATGCTAGATTTTGTCAAATGTTTGTTCTGCACCTGTTGATATAATCATATTAGATTTTTTTTAATTCTGTTTATTTGGTGTATCACACTTATTGACTTGCATATGTGAAACCACTCCTATATCATTGGTATAAAACCCACTTGATCATGGTGGATTATTTTTTGATATGTTGTCGGATTCAGTTAGATAGTATTTTGTTAAGGATTTTGGCATCTGCGTTCATCAAGGATATTGGTCTGTAGTTTTCTTTTTTGGTTATGTCCTTCCATGGTTTTGGTATTAGGGTGATGCTGGCTTCATAGAATGAATAAGGGAGGGTTTCTTCTTTCTCTGTCTTGTGGAATAGTATGAAAAGATTGGTATCATTTCTTCCTTGAATGAAAGAAGACATTCTTTGAATGTCTGGTAGAACTCTGCTGTGAATCTGTCTGGCCCTCAGATTTTTTTGCTGGTAATTTTAAAATTACCATTTCAATCTTGCTGCTTGCTTTATTGGTCTGCTTGGGGTATCTAATTCTTCCTGATTTAAGCTAGGAGAGTTGTATTTTTCCAGGAATTTATCCAACTCTTCTAGGTTTTGTAGTTTATGTGCCAAAAGGTGTTCATAGTACCCTTGAATAATCTTTAATATTTCAGTGGTGTCAGTTGTAATATCCCCTGTTTCATTTCTTAGTGAGGTTATTTGGATTTTCTCTCTTCTTTTCTTGGTTAATCTTGCTAATGGTCTATCAATTTTATTTATCTTTTCAAATAACCAACTTTTTCTTTTATTTATGTTTTGTATTTGTTGTTGTTGTTGTTGTTGTTGTGTCAATTTCATTTAGTTCTGCTCTGATCTTTGTTATTTCCTGTGTTTGCTGGGATTGGGTTTGGCTTGTTCCTGCTTCTCTAGTTCCCTGAGATGTGAACTTAGATTGTCTGTTTGTGCTCTTTCAGACTTTTTGATGTAGGTTTTTAGGACTACAAACTTTGCTCTTAGCAGTGCCTTTGCTGTATCCCAGAGGTCTTGATAGGTTGTGTCATCCAGTTCGAATAAATTTTTTACATTTCCATCTTGATTTCATTTTTCACCCAATGCTCATTCTGTGAGGAACAACCAAATTGTTTTCCGTAGCAAGGGCATCATTTTCTATTCCTAGCAGCCAAATCATGAGGGCTCCAACTTCTCCACCTCCTTAGCAACATTTATTTTCTGTGTCATTGTTATGAAAGCCTTACTTGTGGGTGTAGAGTGGCATGAATGTAGTCAATTAACACGTTTATTACCTCACAGAATCGTCACCTTTTTGTGTGCATGGGTGGGATAAGAAAACTTAACTCTATCCCCTGTGACGGAATAGTGGCCATTCCAGCTGCTCCAGGCTCCAGCAGAGGAAGACTGGGGTATGTGGCCCCACCAGGGTGACCCTCAGGCCTGGCGCGCATGCATTCCAGAGGCCATCCAAACCATGCTCCGCCATCTGGGCGCCCAAGCTGCCGTCGCCCTCTGTGTGCAGGCAGCAGCTGCCTGGCAACCCCCGAGCCCGCTCGTGCTCCTAGCATCACAGAAGCAGGGCCACGTGTCCCAGTGGCTGCAGCCAAGCCAGGCATTCTGCTCTGCGGCAGCAGCTGCACAGGAGCGAGAACTGAGAACCCACTGCTCAACCCCACACGAGGTGACTGCCGAGTGCCCATACAAACGGCTCCGATCTCCCTCAGGTGGAGGAGTGGTTGGGAGGCACGGCCTGGGGGCCCTCAGGCTGGGCGCGCTGGCGATCCCAAGGCCGACCAGGCCATGCACTTCCAGCCCGCCTGGGCACCCGAGCTGCAGCCGCCTTCTGCGTGCAGGCAGCAGCCTCCAGGCAACTCCCGAGCTCGCCCACACTCCCCACATCTCGGAAGCAGGGCCAAATGTCCCTGTGGCTGTAGCCAAGCCAGGCGGTCTGTCCTGCAGCAGCTGCACAGGGGCGGGAACCAGCCCTCAGCCCCATCCCCGGTGGCTGCAGAGGGCCCCTGGATAGAGATCTGGAGCTCTGACAGAGGAGGAGCCGGGCCGGGGCAGGGTCTGGCAGGCTCTCAGGCCAGGGGCACCCGCGATCCAGAGGCGGCCCAGGGCATGCTCCACCACCTGGGCACCCAGCTACAGGCGCCGGGCGACTCCCAAGCTGGCTGGCGCGCCCAGCCTCGCAGAACTGGGGCTAGATGTCGCCGTGGCTGCGACCAAGCCAGGCGGTCTGCCCAGGGGCGGCTGCACCGGGGCAGGAACCGACCCTCAGCCCCATCCCCGGTGGCTGCAGACGGCCCCTGGGGCGGCCCAGATCTCTCTTCGGAGGAGGAGAGGGGCAGGAGTCACGGCCAGGCGGGCCCTCAGGCGGGAAGGAATGCGCGCCTGCGATTCCGGGACCTCCCGCGCCAGCCCAGGAGAACCCGCAAGCCAGCGGCGCCTGTTTCTCTGTGTGATTCTTTGAGGAACCACCAAACTGTTTTCCACAGCAAGTGCATCATTTTCTATTCCTAGCAGCCAGTTCATGAGGGCTCCAGTTTCTCCACCTCCTTCGCAACATTGATTTTCTGTGTCGTTGTTATGAAAGCCTTACTAGTGGATGCAAAGTGGCTTCTCATTTGGGTTTTGCCTTGCATTTTATTAATGAATAATGGTGTTTAGCATCTTTTCTTTTCCTTCTTAGACATTTGTGTATCTTCTTTGGAGAAATGTCTGTTCAAGTCCTTTGCCTATTTTTTTAATTGGGATCTTAGAAATTCTGTTGTTGAGTTGTGGGATATTAAGCTTTTATCAGATACACATTTTGATTTTATCAGATACATATTTTCTCACATATTATGGGTTGTCTTTTCACTCCCTTGATAGTATCCTTTGATGCATAAAGGGTTTTTTTATTTTGATTAAATCTAATTTTCGTGTATTTTCTTTTGTTATCTGTGCTTTTCTGTCATATTTCAGAATACACTTAAAACTCAAAGGTCATAAAGGTTTACCGTGTGTTTTCTTCTAAGAGTTACATATTTTTAGTCCTTACATTTAAGTCTTTTATTAATTTAGAATTAATTTTTGTATATACTGCAAGGTAGGGGTCTAACTTCTCTCTTGTGCACTGACATCCAGCTGTTGAAGAGACTGTTCTTTCCTCCCTTGACTAGACTTGGCCACCTTGTTGAACAGTCATTGACCATATATGTGAGGACTAACTTGTAGGATCTCAAATCTGTTCTATTGTATTTGTCTGAAAGTCTATTGGTCTTATTCCAGTACCACACTCTCTTGATTACTGTAGATTTGTAGTAGGCTGTGAAACTGAAAAATGTGAGTTTTCCAATGTTCTTTTTCAAGACTGTTTTGTCTGTCAGATCCTTTGAATTTTTGTATGATTTTAGAATGAGTTTCTTTGTTTCTGCAAAAATGCCTTTGGGATTTTGATGGTATTGCATTGAATCTGTAGATTACTTTAGATGGTATTGTCATCTTAACAATATTGTCTTACAACCCGTGAACACAGAATGTCTTTCCGCTTATTTCCACTCTCTTTAGTTTTTTGCAGCAATGTTTTGTGTATACCACCATGGTTAGATTTATGCCTGAATAATGTATTCTTTGATGTCATTATAAATGGAATTTTTAAAATGTTTTCATAGTTCTTTACAACTATATAGAAATATAGCTCATTTGCCTATGTTTGTTTGCATCCTGCCTCTTTTATTAGTTATAATCGGTTTTGTGTTTTGTTTGGAGCTTTATACCTATAAGATCATGTGTAGATATAATTTCACACCTATTTTTTATTTCTAATTTAGATGCCTTTTATTTCTTTGTCTTGCCTAATTGCTCTGGCTAGAACTGCCAGTGCTACGTTGAATACAAGTGGCAAGTGCACCATCCTTTTCTTCTAGATGTTAGGAAAACAGCTTTCAGCGTTTCATCATTGATCATGATATTAACTGTTGGGTTTTTGTACATCCCATTGTCATGTTGCAGAAGATCCCTTCTATGCCTAGTTTATTGAGTATTTTTATTATAAAAGGGTGTTGTATTTCATCAATGTTTTATCTGCATCAATTGAAATAATCACGTGCTTATTCATTTTACTGTTACAGAATATTACACTGATTGATTTTTTATATGTTGAACCACCTTTGCATTTTGGGGATAAATCTCAAAGGGTGATAGTTTACAATCCTTTGATTATACAGTATTGCTGCTAGTATTTTGCTAGTATTGCTAGTATTTTGCTGAGATTTTTGCTTATATATTCATAAGGGATATAGTGCTGTATTTCTCTCTTTTGTGCTCTCTTTGTCTTTGGTATAAGGATAATGCTGTTATCAAAAAATGAATTAGCAAGTATTCTTTCTTCATGTATTTTGTCAGAAGAGTGAGAAGAAATGGTATTAATTCTTCTTTAAATGTTAGGTTGACTCACCAGTTAATGCAGCTATTTGGTCATAAATGTTTCTTTGTTAATCGCTTTCGATTACTAATTCAATCTCCTAGGTTATAGGTCTATTCAGATTTTCTCTTTCTTCTTGAGCCACTTTGGTAGTTTGTGTCTTTCTAGCGATTCATCCATTTCATCCAGGGCACCTAATTTGTTGCTAGACAGTTGTTCACAGTATACTCCTATAATCCTTTTGTATTTCTGTAAAGTTGGTAGTAATGGCTCTGCTTTCATTTATTATTTTAATAATTAGTCTTCCATCTTTTGCTCAGTCAATATAGTGAAAGGCTTGATCTTTCAAAGAATCTACATTTTTTCATTCTACTGCTCTCCAACCTTCTATTTGATTGATTTATGCTCTAATTATGCTCTTTATTATTTCTTTCCTTCTGCTAGCTTTGGATTTAGTCTTCCACCTGGATTTATTTTGGGAGTGATATTGATGTAACTTCATGGAAATAATACTAGATAGAAAGTTAGCGGATAGATTCTCTATCTGATGAGAGTTTGGGGCAAGCCGAGTACCAGGTTACCAAGTTTTATTTTTTTCTCTGACCCAAAAAACAATTTGGCAGCCGGGGAGAAACTCTCACAGCTCTGGATGTGAGTTTAGGACACTGAATTTCTACCATTCAATTTCTTACTACTTTTTTGCACAGGGATCATGGCACAAGTTGCAGTTTCCACCCTGCCCATGGAAGATGAGGAGTCCATGGAAGATGAGGAGTCTGTTGAAGATGATTCCGTGGAGAGCAGGATGGTGGTGACATTTCTCATATCAGCTCTCGAGTCCACGGTGAGACCTTCTGTTCTAATATGATATAATTGGGTAGAACTGGGTGGTAGATAAGGTTGATTTGTTTTTGTAGAACTTATAATTTTATGATTTGTAGTTCTAATGAGTAGATCTTTTTCTGGAATAGTAGTTATGGTCAAACACTTCTAACCAAAAGTGCCATGTTGTCCAGTCTGGTCTCAAAATATGGGGCTCAAGAGACCTGCCCACCTTGGCCTCCCAAAATACTGGGATTACAGGTGTAAGCCCCTGAATCTGGCCAGATATTTTTCTTTTTATGGCTGAATAATACTCTGTGTATGTATATATTACATTTTCTTTATCTATTCACCTACTGATGGGCATTAGGTTTGGGCTACCTTTTGGCCACTGTGAATAATGCTGCTGTTAATCGGGTGTACAAATACCTGTTTGAGTCCCTGCTCTCAGTTCTTTTGGGTATATACGCTTAAAGGGTGTTGATGGATCATATAATTCTATGCTTCATATTTTTAAGGAGCTGCTAAACCATTTTCCACAGTGGGCTGTACCATTTTACATTCCAAAAAGCAATGCATACAGCTTCCAATTTCTCTATAGCCTTGCTGACAGTTAATATTTTCTGTTTATGTATTGTATTTTTATAGTGTTTGAAATTAATCTGAGGCTTTTTGCTGATACCAAAATATTAGGAAAGGTTTTCCAAAAATAATACTGCTTATTATAAAGGATTTTACGTGTTACTTGATGCCCTGTGATCTGTTTTCTAAGTAAGAAGAGGAACTTCTTGGCTGGGCACAGCGGCTCATGCCTGTAATCCTAGCACTTTTGGAGGCCGAGGTGGGTAGATCACCTAAAGTCAGGAGTTCAAGACCAGCCTGGCCAACAAAGCAAAACCCAGTCTCCACTAAAAAAAAAAAAAAAAAAAAAAATTAGCTGGGTGTGGTGGGGGGGGTGCCTCTAATCCCAGGTATTCAGAAGGCTGAGGCAGAGAATTGATTAAACCCATAAGGCAGAGGTTACAGGGACCGAGATTGCACCACTGCACCCCAGGCTGTGTGACAGAGCGAGAGTCCATCTCAAAAAAAAAAAAGGAAAGAAAGAAGAGGAACTTCTCTCCATCCAGCCTCATTCCACTGCACCAACTCTTCTGTGTCGGGTTGTGCACGGGAGAAAGGGAGCTTGGCAACTCTTTGCTGTGTTGAGTTGTGGTAGCCCATCACTGGGTTGTAAAGTGCCTTGCCTCCTTTCCTCCCCTCCTTTTTTTTTGAGACAGAGTCTCACTCTGTCATCCAGGCTGAGGTGCAGTGGTGTGATCTCTGCTCACTGCAACCTCAGCCTCCTGGGTTCAAGTGATTCTCCTGCCTCAGCCTCCCAAGAACCTGGGACTACAGGCACATGCCACCACACCTGGCTAAATTTTTTTTTTTTAGTAGAGACAGGGTATCACCATGTTGGCCAGGCTGGTCTTGAACTCCTGACTTCAGGTGATCCACCCACCTTGGCCTCCCAAAGTGCTGGGGTTAAAGGCATGAGACACTGCGCCCGTCCACCTCCTCTTTTACTTGGGAGAAATGCACAGATTCTGGGTGCCATGTGCATTTGTTTTGGGAGTGATAATTGATCTAACTTATGGAAATAATACTAGATAGTTAGCGGATGGATTCTGTATCTGATGAGAGTTTTGGGCAAAACTCCTAGTTTCTGAGTCTTATTTTTCCCCTGATTCAAGAAAACTGTGAATTATCCAGCCAGTAAAAAACTCTCACAGCTCCGGATGTGAGTTTAGGACACTGGATTTCTACCACTCATTTTCTTACTACTTTTCTTGTGCAAGGATCATGACACAAGTTGCAGTTTCCACCCTGCCCATTGAAGATGAGGAGTCTGTTGAAGATGAGGAGTCCTTGGAGAGCAGGATGGTGGTGACATTCCTGTCAGCTCTCGACTCCATGGTCAGACCTTCTGTTCTCACATTCTGTAGTTCAGTAGGACTGGGCGGTAGATAAGCTTGATTTGTTTTTGTAGAACTTACAATTTTGTGTTTTTTAGTTCTAATGAGTAGACCTTTTTCGTGAATAGTAGTTACGGTCAAACACCTCTGACCAAATGTGCATGTGGAGTTTCTACACTGATTTTCAGACAATCTGGATCCCAACTGGGTATCCCACAATTCCGTCCTGACACTCCCTGGAGTTAGTGCAGACCCCGCAGGATGGGAGCTCAGTCCCAGGAGTCTACCCTCACTCCACATGCCAATTGCAAGTCTTGGGTTGTTACATGTAGTTTTGACCAACCAGTTAGAAAACAGAGTTTCATGACCCCCATTGGTGGGTGGAATCATTTGCTCGGACAGCTTGCAGAACTGAGAAAAACAGATTGTTTTCTTTTTTTTCTGAGATACAGGGTCTCAGTCTGTTGCCAGGCTGGAATGCAGTGGTGTGATCAAAGCTCACTGTAGCATGGGACTCCTAGGCTCAAGTGATCCTCCCACCTCAGCCTCCCAAATAGCTGAGATTATAGGCCTGTACCAGCATATCTGGCTATGTTCTCTTACTTTTTGTAGAGATGGGGTCTTGTTATGTTGCCCAGGCTGGTCTCAAATTTCTGGGCTCACATGATCCTCCCACCTCAACTTCACAAAATGCTGGGATTATGGGCATGAACCACTGCATCTCACCAATTTATTTTCTTTTACTGGTTCATTTTAAAGGCTAAATCTCAGAAACAGCCAGTGAAAGAGATGTACATGCTGGGCACAGTGGCTCATGCCTGTAATTTCAGCACTTTGGGAGACTGAGGCGGGAGCATCGCTTAAGTGCTCAGGAGATTAAGACCAGCCTGGGTAACAAGGTGAAAATGCATCTCTACAAAAAGATTTTTCTAAAAATTAGCCAGGCACAGTTATCTATAGTTCTAGCTACTCAGTGCCTATAATTCTAGCTACTCAGGAGGCTGAGGTGAGAGGATGAGAGGATGGGGCTTGAGATAGGGAGGCATAGTTCGCAGTGAGCCACGATTGTGCCATGGCACTCTAGGCTGGGAGACAGAGCCAGACTCTGTCTCAGAAAAAAAAAAAACACACAGGGCAAGGTATGTCGAGAGGGGTACAGAACTTCCATGTCCTCTATTGTGCATGTTACCTTCCTGGTATCTCCCTTGTGTTCAGCAACCCAGACATTCTCCAACTCCAGTTGTTAAGGGCGCTTATGAACGCTTCATTATGCAGGCATGATTGATGAAGTCATTGACCATTGGTAATTAAGTCAGTCTTCGGCCACTATTTCTTCCTGGAGCCCAGGGGGTGAGGCTGACAGTTCCAAGCCTCTAATCACATGGTTTGTTCTTCTGACAACAACCACCCCTTTTTCTAAAGCTGTCTAGGACCTTTCAGTCACCCAGTCATCTCAGTAACATCACCAAATGCATTCTTACTATGGTGATCCCAAAGGTCTTAGAGGCTCTTGTGTTAGAAACCTGGGACTAAGACCAAATATTGAAACAGAAGATGCCCCATCACTTTCATCACCAAGGCCTTTATAAGAGCTTGAGAAGCTCTGTGCCAGGATGAGGGGCAGAAACCAAATGTGTATTTCTTTTCTTTTTCTTTTGAACACAGAGTCTCTGTTTCACCCAATCTGGAGTGCAGTGATGGTGTTGTAGCTAACTGCAGCCTCAACCACCTGTGCTCAAGCAATTCTCCCACCTCAGCCTTCCAAGCATCTGGGACTACAGGTGCACACCATCCATGCCCAGCTAATTTTTGTATTTTTTTTTTGTAGAGATGGGATCTTGTTATATTGCCGAGGCTGGTCTTGAACTCTGGGGCTAAATCGATCCTTTCTCCACAACCTCTCAAGTAGCTGAAACTACAGATGCATACTACCATGCCCAGCTAATTTTTTCTTATTTCTTTTTGTTGTTTAATTGAGGGGGTCTCGCCGTGTTTCCCAGGCTGGTCCTGAAGTTTTGGCCTCAAGCGTTTCTCCTGCTTTGACCTCCTAAACTGTTGGGATTATGGTTGTGAGCCACGGCCTCTGTGTCCAGCAATCACAAGAGGTCTTTATAAGTGAAAGAGGGAGGTAAGAGAGTCCGAATTGAAGGAGATTTGATGATGGAAGCACAGGTCACAGAGGGAGATTCGAATATGCTTTGCTTCTGGCTTTGAAGATGCAGTTAGGAGCCATGAGCCAAAGAATAGCAGTGGCTTTAGCAACTGGGAAAGGCAAGGGAACATATTCTCTCCAGAACCTCCAGAAGGGATGCAGTCCTGCTGGCACCTTGACTTTAGCCTTAATAGACCTATTTTGGACTTCTGGCCCCCAGACCTCTTAGTTAGTAGATTTGTGGTGTATTAAGCCACTCAATGTAGGGTAGTTTGTAACAGCGGCAAGAAGAAATGAACATGAAGCCAGAATTGGTGGCCCACACCTATAATTCCAGCTATTTAGGAGGTTGAGGCAGGATGGTTGCTTTGGCCCAGTAGTTCACGATAAGTCTGGCCCTGAGGCAGGACAATTTCTTGACCTAAGAGCTCCAGGTCTCAGTGCGTTGTGATCGTGCCATGGCACCCCAGTCTGAGTGACACAGCGAGATTATATCTTAGAAAAAAAAAGAAAAAAGAAATGAGTGAGCATGGCAGGAATAGGGACAGATAGCAATATTAAATAGAGTGGTCAGGGTTGGCCTCCTAAGTGAAAATTGAGCAAAGACTTGAAGGAGGGGAAGGATCTGGCCAAGGTACTGAGGGAAGAGCATTGTAGGCAGAAACAACAGAATAAAGATGCTAAGAGGGAACTCCGTGGTGTGTCTGAAGCTCAGGAAAGAGGTCTGTGGAGTATAGAGAGGGAGAGAAGTAGGGAAGGAGGCCAGGGAGTTGTTGGACTCAGATCAGTACAGATTGTGTAAGCCCTGGGAGGCTATTGCTGGGGCTTTGGTTTTTATTCTGTCTGAGATGGGAGATGAGGAAGGGTTCTGAGCAGAGAGGTGACACGAACTGTCTACTGATTTAAAAGCATCCCATGGCAGCTGAGTTGAGAAAGATTGTGGGAAGATTTGGGTAGAAGCAGGGAGGCCATGCTGTGGCAACCTCCAGGTGGGAGATGATAGTGGTTCTGACCAGGGCCCTGGCAATGGTGAGAGATGGTTGATTCTTGTTGAAATACTAAGTAATTAAAAAAAAACCACTACTGCTTTTCCCAATTATATGAAGTATGGGATGCTAGATTACAGAAATCTTAAGTCGGGCCAGGTGCAGTGGCTTATGCCCGTAGCTTCAGCACTTTGGGAGGCAGAGATGGGAGAATGGTTTGAGTCCAGGAGTTTGAGACCACCCTGGGCAACACAGCAAGACCTCCTGTCTATGCAAATAAAAATTAATAAAATATAATTATCCCGGCATAGTGGTATTTTCCTGTAGAACCTGTTACTTAGGTTGTTGAGGTGGGCAGATCTCTTGAGGGTGGGAGTTTGAGGCCAGCTTGGGCAACATAGCAAGGCTCCTCTTTCTACAAAAAAAAAAAAAAAAATTAGCTGGGTGTTTTGGTGCTCATCTGTAGCCATAGCTATGGTGAGGGTGAGGCAAGAGGATCCCCGGAGCCCAGGAGGTCACGGCTGCAGTTAGCTATGAGTGCACCCCTGCATTGCAGCCAGAGTGACAGAGTGAGACCTGGTCTCAGAATACAGATACAAGTAAAGAAATCTCAGCTCAGAGCAGTCTGTTTGTCACTATGCAGCCTTTGCAACCCCATAGCTGCGCGATTGGGTTTGTGTTGCTGGAGGTGAGGAGACCCGTGCCCAGGTGTTGTTGCCTGTCTAATCAGTTTATTTTAAAATATATTAATGAAATTTATTTCATCATACTTTATGGCCTCATACCTGAATGTTTTTTTGAATTCTCCTTTGAATAGCTTGTAACTATTCAAACCTCTTATTGGTTCTATAATTAATTCTTTTTCTAATTAGCTTTTTAAAAATCAGAATTGATATTAGACCAATCAGTTATTAATGAGGAGATGAAATTGAGTTGTTTGTACACTTTATCTAAGATAGTGTTATATTGGCTAACTCAAATCAGTAGTTCAGCAAATGCAGAATCAGAGCTTCTTCAGCCTGGAACTCTCTTGTGGTTCTTGTGGTTCTTGAAGATGCCATTTCTTTTTTTTTTTTTTTTTTTTTTTGAGACAGCATCTTCCTCTGTCACCAGGCTCGAGTGCAGTGGCACAATCTCAATTCACAGCAACTTCTGCCTCCCGGTTTCAAGCATTTCTTTTGCCTCAGCCTCTGAAGTAGCTGGGACTACAGGCACATGTCACCATGCCCGGCTAAGCTTTGTATTTTCTGTAGATACGGGGTTTCAGCATGTTGGACAGGCTGGTCTTGAACTCCTGACCTTGTGATCCACTGGCCTTGGACTCCTAAAGTGCTGGGATTACAGGTGTGAGCCACCGTGCCTGGCCTCTTTTTTCAGTCTTTAATAAACTGCTGCCATCATTTCAGACCGCTTGCTATTTTAGGCACTTAGAAATTTTTCACTGGAATTCATGTAAAGAAAGACCATGGGTGTTTGTACTGGATTTAGTATTCATCCTTCGACTGCATGACTCACCCCTAGTGCCATAATTTTACTAATGAATTTTTCAGATACTACTCAGCTGGCCACTGAACCTAACCAGCAACCCACCCTCAACCATTCAGTGGTCTTTTGTTCTTCTCTGTTCCTCCTGAATGTTGATTACTCTCAGAAGGTGATAAAAACTTGGATTTCTTTTTTTTTTCTTTCTAGAGACAGGGTTTTGTTCTGTCACCCAGGCTGCAGTGCGGTGGCATGATCATGGTTCACTGCAGCTTGAAACCCCGGACTCAAACAGTCCTCCCACCTCAGCCTCCCAACTAGCTGGGACTACATACATTTGCCCCTATGCCCAGCTAACTTCTTTATTTTTTATTGTACAGATGGGATCTTGCTGTGTTGCTCAGGATGTTGTCAGACTCCTGGCCTCAAGTGATCCTTCTGCCTCAGCTTCCCAAAGTGCTTGGATTATATGTAGGTGGGAGCCACCTGTGTTCAATGCCCATTTTCTTTTTCTTTCTTTCTTTTGGAGACGGACTCTCACTCTGTCATGCAGGCTGGAATGCAGTGGTGTGATCTCAGCTGACTGCAACCTCCACCTCCCTGGTTCAAGCAACTCCCCTGCCTCAGCCTCCCGACTAGCTGGAATTACAGGCCCATGTCACCACTCTCAGCTAATATTTTTGTATTTTTAGTAGAGACAGAGTTTCAGTATGTTGGCCAGACTGGTCTCGAACTCCTGAAATCAGGCAATCCACCCACCTTGGCCTCCCAGTGTGCTGAGATCAGAGGCGTGAGTCACCACGCCATGCCCAGCCATTTTTAAAATAATAACGTTATTGAAATATGATTAACGTATCATGCAATTCATTTATCAAAGTACGCAATTCAGGCCAGGTGCAGTGGCTAATTCCTATAACGCTAAGACTTTGGGCAGCTGAGGCAGGTGGATCGCTTGTGTTCAGGAGTTTGCGACTAGCCTGGGCAACATGGCAAAACAGCATCTCTAGCAAAAATACAAAAATTAGCTGGGTGTAGTGGCTCATGCCTGTAGTCCCAACTACTTGGGGACATGAGACTGGAAGATCACTTGAGCCCAGAAGCCATAGGTTGCAGTGAGACCAGATGGCACCACTGCACTACAGCATGGGTGACAAAAGGAGACCCTGTCTTTAAATAACTAAAGAAAAAAGAAAGTATACAATTGAGTGGTTTTTAGAATATTCAAGGAGCTGTGCATCCATCACCACAGTCTTTCTTAGAAGTGATTACCCACTTGTGAGTTACCCACTTATGAGTGAGAAACCCTCACCTCTTAGCCACTACCTCCTACGTACCCCATGTTCATAGGGTACGTATGTTTATCCATTCATTAGTTGATGGACATTTGTGTTGTTTTTGCGTATTCACCATCATGAGTCAGGCTGCTATGAACACTCGTACGTAAGTTTTAGTGTGAACATATATTTTTATTTCTCTTGGATTTACACTCAGGAGTGAAATTGTTGCATTATGTGATTACTATACATTTAGTCTTTGAGAAACTGCCACGTTGTTTTTCAAAGTGGTTACACTGGTCAGGCACAGTGGCTCACACCTTTAATCTCAGGTATTTGAGACGCTGAGTTTGGAGGATTTTCTTAGCTCGGGAGTTCAGGACAACCCTGGGCAACATAGGGAAACAATGTCTTGATTTTTTAAAAAAATCAAATGCCAAGAAAACACCCAAATTGATTACACCATTTTATGTTCCCACCAGTAATGTATGTGAGTTCCAATTATTCCAATTGTCACCAACTTTTTTTTTTTTGAGACAAAATCTTGCTCTGTTGCCCAGGCTGGAGTGCAGTGAAATGAACATGGCCAGTGCAGCTGTGACCTTCCAGGCACAAGTGATCCTCTCACCTCAGCCTCCTAAGTAGCTGGGACTTACAGGTGCATGCTATCATGTGCAGCTGATTTTTACAGTTTTTGGTAGAAATGGGGTGTTGTCATGTAGCCCAGGTTTGTGTCAAACTCCTGAGCTCAAGTGATCTGCCTGCTTCAGCTTCCGGAAGTGCTGAGATTACAGGTGTGTGCCACCATGCCCGACTGGTGTAACCACTTTGGAAAGCAGCCACTGAGCCCGGCCTTCACCAGTATACCAATATTTGTTAATATCGTTTTATTTTTTACAATTTTTCCATTTTTAAAAACTTATTCTTTTACCTGTATTGTTGATTATAATAAACAACGAATAATTTTGCAGTAGAGTTGAGTCCCCCCAAAAAGTATTTATTGTTTAACTGAAGTAGTTTTTTTTTTAACCTGGATATATATTTTTTCATTTTCACTTTATTTTTAGTGTTTATTTTTAAAAATTATTTATATGTATTTTTATTTCAATAGGTGTTTGAGAAACAGGTGGTGTTTGGTTCCATGAATAAGTTCTTCAGTGTTGATTTCTGAAATGTAGTACCCCTCATTACTTATTAAATTATATATTAAGTCATTATAAAATAATTAATAAACCAAGGACTTTAGTAAAATGGGAATTTTATTTTAACTTGCAACCTGGGACGTAACTGTCAAAAAAATTAGAGAAATTACCACATTAAGGTTTTAAAATCTTGAACTGAAAAATGAAAACCTTGGTGCACCTAAGAAACACCAGCCCACTGGTCAAAGTGAACAAAACTAAATGAAAAAATAAAACCAAGAAAACCAAACTCAGGATTATTAGGTATTTTGTAATGCTATTTTATCTTTGGACTCACAGAAAATAGTTATTATTATTATTACTCTTATTATTATTATTATTTTGATATGGAGCCTCACTCTGTCACCCAGGCTGGAGTGCAGTGGCGCAATCTTGGCTCACTGCATCCTCTGCCTCCTGGGTTCAAGTGATTCTTCTGCCTCAGCCTTCAGAGTAGTTGGGATTAGAGGCAGGTTCCACCATGCCTGGCTAACTTGTATTTTTGGTAGAGACAGGGTTTCACCATGTTGGCCAGGCTGGTCTGAAACTCCTGATCTCAAGCAATCTGCCTACCTCAGCCTCCCAAAGTGCTGGAATTACAGGCTTGAGCCACTCTGCTCAGCTGAAAATAGTTAATTTTATGTATATTCCAAGTCAGAATACATCCTATTTTTGAATATTTGATGACTTTAGGATACTATATTAACTCTTAATTGAATTAATACAAGTTTAGGTGTAAAGATGATGTTTATGTTGACAAAAATTATTAATGTTTTACATATATGAAAGTAACAATATCATATATTTTTCATACTTGTACAATACTTTGAAATCTATTATTAGCTAATATTTTATATTCATTTTGCGTTTTCACATTATTGTTAGATCCAGAGAAAAGTAATATTGTGTGAATACTCAAATCATAAATATTTTGCTGGATGCATTCATAGATACTTTATTTAAAAAGTACACTAATTGAAGTTTTACACCATTTTATGATTCATCAAACACAGCAACTGAATACTGGCGTATAGCAACATTACAGATGATGTTAGTCTAAGATAAAACTCATAACACATTTTAAAAAGGGTAA
Source organism: Homo sapiens (assembly GCF_000001405.40). NCBI lineage: Eukaryota > Metazoa > Chordata > Mammalia > Primates > Hominidae > Homo > Homo sapiens. Next base: position 185,393 of record NT_187498.1, read on the forward strand.
AAGGAAGGAAAGGAAAAAGGATACAAGGCTGTAGAAAGATTTTAAAAACAAACGTTGTATGTCTGAACCTTTTCCTGGAGTTTCATATTTTGTGAAAAGCAGTTTGTAAGTAGAGGACTCGTAAGTGCACCTAGTACACTGCAATGGCACAGACACGGCAGATAGTCAATAAAATGATCTTTAACTTCTGATCTAGGTTATTTTTGTTGTTGTTCATGTATTAACCTAGTGAAACTCAGCCAATAGATGGAGTGGCATTGACCTGTACAACTTCCAAAATCCCATCCAACCTTAGTGTCCTCTGAAGTTCTCCATAACTTATTGTCTGTTCCAACCAACATTTAGCATAAGCTACAGCTTATATTGTTAATAATTCTTCTATGTTTATGTGCTGATTTGCAAATAAATGGGCCTATATAGTCTTTATCTAGTGTTGGATTGGGATCAAAAGTTTCATGAAATCATTGTTTTTAGTATACGTACAGATGGATAATTGTATAAATAAGTACAGATGTGTATAAATGTGTGAGTATACATACATATATTTTCTAGCTCCTCTAACAAAAGGGCCTAGAAACAACATCATCCCAGTAACAATGAGAACACCATTCTCCAATTAAAGGAACCAAGGCTCCTTGGGGACATATTTGATAGCAGGATTGGGCAGGGAAAATACAAGATTAGTTTGAAATATTTTGTCATGTTAGGAAGTAAGGAAATGCTCACAAAATGGGGAAAATGTGAAAGGGAAACAGATCCACTTTGAATAAACTTCCATAGCCAAATTTGAGAAAATTGGGGCAATAAAATAGATAACAATAATAATATATTACTATCTACAGGAGAAAATTTTCAATTAATCCAGGCCAGGTGCAGTTGCTCATGCCTGTATTCCCAGCCCTTTGGGAGGCAGAGGCGGGCAGATCACTTGAGGTCAGGAGTTCAAGACCAGCCTGACCAATGTGGTGAATCCCTGCCTCTACTAAAAATACAAAAATTAGCCGGGCATGGTGGCACATGCCTGTAGTCCCAGCTACTCCGGAGGCTGAGGCAGGAGAATGGCTTGAATCCCGGAAGGTGGAAGTGCAGTGAGCGGAAATCGCACCATTGCACACCAGCCTGGATGACAAAACAAGACTCCAACTCAAAACAAAAATCCATATTGACATAAATAATAAACCAAAGATTGAGAGTGGGTAGTATTTTATTACAGTAAGATTTCATTAAATGTAGGAGACATAAAATATAAGAATCATCACTTTGCAAATATCATAGTAATAATTGTTGCAAGAAAGAACCTTGGAGGAATGCTAAGATTAGTGGTGAATATATGTTGGGAAAGAACATATTTGCATAATATGAAAGTATCTTCCCACAAGATAATTATAGAATAGTAACTTCAAAGTGGAGATGTCAACTTAGCCAAGTGATCAAAGTTAACATTACTAATAATAAGATAAATGAACTTCATGTAATTTCTTATATGATGCACTGAGTAGGACAAAACATCAATTCTATGGTATTCTTAGACAAAATGTATAACTTTAGTCCTAACCATGAGAAAACATCAGACTAACTGAAATTGAGGCGGGACATTCTACAAAATAACGGCCAGTATTCATCAAAAGCATTTTAGAAAGACTGAGGAATTCTCCAGAGACATGGAGGCATGTTATCTAAGTGCAATGGAGAACATGCATTGTATCATGAACCAGAGATGGACAACAGTAGGATATGTACAATAACACCCCAACATTTGAACATTAAACAAAATACTTCAGAAAAACCCATTGGCCAAGAAAAGTTTCACACACAAAAAAAAATAGTTTAAACTGAAAGAAAATTTTTTAAAAACTTAATAAAATGTGGGATGCAGATAAACCGTTTCTTAAAGGTACATTTATAGATGTAATATATTGAAAATAAAAGGCTTCAATGACCTTTAGTTTCTTTTTTAAGAGGCTAAAAAATAAGCAAAGTATATCCAAATTAAGAAGAAGGAAGATGATAAAGATAAAAATGTAAACCAACAACATAGCAAATAACAAAAGGTAGAGCTAATTAATATACCCACAAATTGGTTCTTTGAAAAAAAATTTTTTAATAAACAATGGCTAGCAAGATTTATCTCGAAAAAAATTAGAGAAGCTACATAATGTAGATAATGGGAATTAAATAGAGGATGTAACTACAGAAACTACAGACATCAATATAATTATGAAAACTTTAGACCAATACATTTGACAATTAAAATAACATGGGAAATTATTTGTAAATCTAATTCTTAAAACTAATGCAAAATGAAATAGAAAAAGTAATAGCTTCTCTATGTATTGAAGAATTTTTTTAATTTAAAAAGATTTCTATAATTACAGGCTACATGCTTTCTCAGGTGAATTCTATCAAACATTTAAGAAAGTACAGAGAGTCCTCAACTTACAGTGGTTTGACTTGTGCTCTTCTTACTTGATAATGGTGCTTTCATCTGTGTACGTTAACGATGAGCATCAATATGACCAGTTTTTCACTATCAGTATAGTTTTCAATAAATTTCATGAGAAACTCAATATTTTAAAATGGGCCTTGTGGTAGATGATTTTGCCCAATCGTAGGATAATGTAAGTGTTCTGAGCAAGTTTAAGGTAGGCGAGGCTAAGTCATGATATTCAGTAGGTTAAATATATTAAATGCGTTTTAGACTTACAATATTTTCAATTTAGGATGAGTTCATTAAGACATAAAACAATTGTAAGTTGAGGGGTATCTATAACATCAATCTTGAACGGACTCTTTTTAAGAAATAGAATTTAAGGGCCGGACACAGTGGCTCACACCTGTAATCCCAGCACTTTGAGAGGCCAAGACGGGCAGATCACCTGGGGTCAGGAGTTTGAGACCAACCTGACCAGCATGGAGAAACCCCCATCTCTACTAAAAGTACATAATTAGCAGGGCATGGTGGCACTTACCTGTAATCCCAGCTCCTTGGGAGACAGAGGCAGGAGAATAGCTTGAATCTGGGAGGCAGAGATTGTGGAGAGCCGAAATTGTGCCATTGCACTCCAGCCTGGGCAACAAGAGTGAATCTCCGTCTCAAAAAAAAAAAAAAAAAAAAAAGAAAATTTAAAGGGACATTTCCTATCTTATTTTATGAACCCAGTATTGCCGATTCCAAATCGAGACAAAGGCATTATACAACTTTGATGTTTATCCCTCATAAACATAGACTCAAAAGTCCTTAAAACATAATAACCAATTGAATGTAGCAGTACATAGAATGGATAATAAACTGTGAACAAATTAAATTTCTAGCAAGATTGCAAAGTTAATTTATTATTTGAAAGATCAGTTTAATCAATTTTATTCACCTGGATGGTTACATCTGGCAAAACTCAGCAAACTGTGCACTTTAAAATAGTATTTATTTTATGTAAATTATCTTTCAATACAATTGATTTTTTAAATTGTTATTGTTTAATTATAAACGGTATCCTTTCAGGATACTTGGAAGATCCATAGCAGTGTTTTTATTTTCACAGAACAAGCATAAATTATTTATGAAATAATAACTCAGATACAGAGATTACTTCCTATTGGCCTTACATATGAATATAAATAAATACATATTATGAACATGAGCATACTTATTTTATAATTATGTAAATGTGTGTGTAATGTTATATATAAGTTCAATAAAGTCATGCTTATACATGGTTTCAATTCATGCTTCTAAAAACCACTCAATGTAGTCATTATCGTATGTTAATAAATAATCTCTGAAAATGTGCTTCTAGTAGTTGCACAATATCCCATCATAAAGATTGTCATGCTGTTTTTAAGTCATACTTTTGGGTATATAAGTTATATCTGATATTTTTCTGCTACATATATACTATTATAAATCTATTAGTAGCTGATTTTTTTGTCAACACATATGATTGTTTCCTCACAATAGTACAAGAGTTGGTTGTAACTTTATTTCCTTCCAACATTTATTTTAGGTTCAGCGGGTACATGTGCAGGTTTATTATATGGGTAAAATGTGTGTCAATGGGATTTGGTGTACAGATTACGTAGTCATCCAGGTAGTGAACGTAGTATCTAATAGGGAGTTTTTTGATCCTCACTCTCCCCCCACCATCCAGCCACAGTAGACCTTGTGTCTATTGTTCCCTTCTCTGTGTCCATGTGGACTCAATGTTTAGCCCCCACTTATAAGTGAGAACATGCAGTGTTTGTTTGGTTTTCTGTTCCTGCATTAATTCACTTAGAATAATGGTATCCAGCTCCATTCATGTTGCTGCAAAAGACATTATTTCATCCTATTTTATAGGTGTGTAGTATTCCATGGTGTATGTACGCTGCATTTTTTTAATCCAGTCTTCTGTTAACAGGCATCTAAGTTGATTCCGTGTCTTTGCTATTGTGAATAGTGTTATAATGAAAATATGCGTGCATATGTCTATGACAGAATGATTTATATTCCTTTGGGTATATACCCAATAATGGGATTGCTGGGTTGAATGGTAGTTCTGTTTTAAGTTATTTCAGAAATCTCCAAACTGCTTTCCACAATGGCTGAACAAATTTACATTCCTGATGAAACTGGAGACTTCCCTGACTCCCCTTGGCAGGATGTGCAACAGAGGTGTGGCTTGTCTGGCCACCGTGTGTGCTGTCAAACCCCTTACTGGGCAGGGAAGCATGCAGACAGGCAGGTGCAATAGGCAGGGCAAGTGGCCATGGTACTGTCTAGGGGTGGGTTCCTGCGACTCCTACAGCCCAAGTGGGCATGTGTTACAGTGCACTCTTTTAGCTTTGTCATCCACAGACGGCTTAAGTGTTAACCTGTTCAGTGCCCTCTTGGTACCCAGTTCCTTGTCCAGCATCCAGAAAGAATTAAGTTGCACACAGACTTGAGGATGGTGAATGTGGGGGTTTTATTGAGTGGTGGAGGTGGCACTCAATGGGATGGATGGGAAGCTGGAAAGGGGATGGAATGGGAAGATGATCTTCCCCAGGAGCTTTGCCATCCAGAGGCTGATCTCTCCAACCACTGCCAGCCAAACTCCTCTTGGCATTCAGATGCTCCTTCTCTTCTTTCTGCCACATCATTTTGCAATTCTGCTCTTCTGTTCATCTCCTCATCTGCTTGTCTGCTTCTGGAGCCTGGGGTCTGGGGCATATATGGGTACAGGACAAGGGGTGCATGGTGAGCTGAAAGACAACTTTTGGGTGCAAAAGCAGGAATGCCTGTTCCCATTTACGGCCATGGGTTTCCAGGCTTGTGGGCAGGGCTTTGCCAGGGAACCACTCTCTTCTACCCAGTATTTCCCTGTCTCCTTTCTATATCACCACCAGCAGTGTATAAGCATTCCCTTTTTTCCACAAACTCGGCACCGTCTGTTATGTTTTGATTTTTTAATTATAGCCATTCTGACCGGTGTGATATGGTATCTCATGGTTCTGATTTTCTGATGATTAGTGATGTTGAGTATTTTTTCATATGGTTGTTTGCCATACATACGTTGTCTTTTGAAAAAAGAATCTACAGACGGCTTAAGTGTTAACCCGTTCAGTGCCCTCTTGGTACCCAAGTCCTTGTCCAGCATCCAGAAAGAAGTTGCACATGGACTTGAGGATGGTGAATGTGGGGGCTCATGTTCTTTGCCTATTTGTAGTGGGTTTGCTTTTTGCTTATTGATTCTTTATACATACTAAGTATTAGACCTTTTTCAGATATGTAATTTGAAAATATTTTCTTCTGTTCTGTAGGGTGTTCTCTGTTGATAGTTTCTTTTGCTGTGCTGAAGCTCTTTAGTTTCATTAGGTCCCACTCGTCAATTCTTCTTGTTGCAATTGCTTTTGGAATCTTCATCATGAAATATTTGCCTGCGCCTATGTCCAGAATGATATTTCCTAAGTTTTCTTCTAGGGTTTATATAGTTTTGGGTCTTACATAAGTCCTTCATCCATCTTGAGTTGATTTTTGTATATGGTGAAAGGAAGGGAGTGTACATGCCCCTGTGATATTGTTCCTAATATCCAGGTTGGGAGAGGATATTATACTCAATAGTGCAGGAAGTGTCGACCACCCTGAATGTTGCTTTTAATATCCGGGGAGAGAGGGTGATATTACTCCCAATATCATCCTCTCCCCCGACACCCTGCATAGTACAAGCAATATCAAAGGGGGTCTGTGCAACACGTGCAATATTGGGAGTAATATCCTCCCCCAACATGGATATTAGAAACAGTATCACAAGGGGTTGTACACCACCTGTGATATTGGGGAGTACTATCATTTTCTTTCCCCATGGATATGTACAACAATATCACAAAGGTGGTGTACAACCCCTGCTATATTGGGAGTAATACTGTACTTTCCCCACCTAGATATTAGGAACAATATCACGGGGGGTTATACACCACTGCAACATTGGGAGTAATATCATCCTTTCCCTCCCTGGATATTAGGAACAATAACTCATGGGTGTCTACACCATGTTCCATATTGGGATTAATATTTTCTCCCTTGCTGGACATAAGGAACAATATAACGGGGGGTATACACTCCTTATGATATTGCCAGTAATATTATAGACTCCCCCCAGGGATATTAGAAAGAGTATCAGAGAGGGGTGTACATCCCCTGCGATATTGGGAATAATATTCCTTCTTTCCCTGGATATTAGGAATAATATCACAAAGGGGTTGTATACACCCCGTGACATTTTAATTAATATCATCTTCCCCACTGAATATTAGGAACAAATTCCCAGGGGGTTGTACACCACCTGCAATATGGACAGCTATATCATTGTCTCTCCCCCGAATATAAGGAACAATATCACAAGGGGGTTGTACAACCCCTGTGATATTGGGAGTAACTTTATACCCTTTCCACATGGATATTAGGAACAATATCACAGGGTGGTTGTACACCCACTGCGATATTGGGAGTAATATCATCCTCTATCCCCTGGGTATTATGAACAATATCATGGGGAGGGAGTGTATGCCCTCTGTGATATTGGGAGTAATATCATCCTGTCCCCTCTGGATATTAGGAATGATATCACAGCGGGGCTGTACCTTTTCTGCATTATTGGGAGTGGTATCACCCTCTCCCCCTATGGATATTAGGAACAATATCACAAAGGGGGTGTACACATCCTGCGATATTGAGAGTAATATTGTCCACTCTTCCCTGAGATATTAGGAACAATATCACAGGCGGAGTGTACACCCCCTGCTATTTTACCTGTAATATTATTCTCTCCCAACCTGGATATTAGGAATAATATAACAGGAGGGGTGTACACCACCTGTGATATTGGGAGTAATATCATTCTCTCCCCCCATGGATATTGAGAACAATATCACAGGGGCGGTTTACACCTCCTGCGACATTTAGAGTAATATCATCCTTTTCCCCCATGGATATTAGGAACGATATCGCACGGGAAGTGTACACCCCCGCCATATTGGGAGTAATATTTTCTCCCTTGCTGGACATTAGGAACAATATCACGGGAATGCACACACCCTGCGATATTGCCAGTAATATCGTAGTCTCCTCCCAGGATATTAGGAACAATATCACAAGGGGGGTGTACATGCCCTGTGATATTGGAAGTAATATCATCTACTCCCCCCACGGATATTAGTAACAATATCAGAAGGAGTGTACACCCCTTGCGATATTTATAGTACTATCATCCTATACCCCCTGGATATTAGGAACAATACCACGGGGGGTGTATACCCACTGTGATATTGGGAGTAATTTCATCCTCTACCCCTTGGATGTTAGGAGCAGTATCACAAGGGGGGTGTGCAGCCTCTGTGATATTAAAAATAATACCGTTCTCTCCTTCTCTGGATACTAGGAATAATATCACAGTGCTGGTGTGCACCCTTTACACTATTTGGAGCAATATCACCCTCTCCCCAACTTGATATTAGAGACAATATCATGGGGGGTGGCGTGTAACACCCTGCACTGTTGGGAGTACTATCATCTAGTCTTCCCCTGGATATAAGAAACAGTATCACAGAAGGGGTCTACACCTCCTGAGATTTTGGGAGTAATATCATCCTCTCCAAATCTGGATATTAAGAACAGTATAATGGGGTGTGGGGAGTAATATGGTGGGAGTAATACAATCCTCCTCCCCACTTGCTATTAGGAACAATATCGCAAAACGTGTGTACACCCACTGTGACATTTGGAGTAATATCAACATTTCCCCACCTGGTATCACGGGGAGAGTGTACACTCCTTATGATATTGGAAGTATCATTGTCTCTCACTCTCGATATTAGGAAAAATAGCACAGGGTGTGTATACACTTCCTGTGATTTTGGGAAGAACATCATACCCTTCTGTCTTTGATATTAGGAACAATATCACAGAGGGGGTGTACAACTTCTGTGATATTATAATATTCTTTCTTCCCATGGATATTAGGAATGACATCCCGGGGGGCTTGTTGTACACCCCCTGTGATACGGACAGTAATATCATTGTCCTTCCCCCTACATATTAGAAACAATATCACAAGGGTGGTATACACCCCCTGGATATTAGAAACTATCACAGGGGGGCTGTACAACCTCTTTGATACTGTGAGTAATACCATTGTCTCCCCTCCTGGGTATTAATAACAATATCATAGGGTGGGTGTACACTCCCTGCAATATTGGGAATAATATCATCCTCTCTTCCCAGGGATATTAGGAACGTTATCACAGGTGGGGTTTACACCCCCTGCAATTTTGTCAGTAATATTACTTCTGGATGTTATTGAATATATCACAGTGGGGGTGTACACCCCCTGTGATATGGGGAGTAATAGCATCCTCTTTCCCACTGGATACTACAAACAATATCGCAGATTGTGTATAACCTCCTGTGATATTGTTCACAGGAGGACAAAACTTCCAGAGGAACGATCAGACAGCAGCATTCGCGGATCACGAAAATCCACGGTTTTGCAGACAACACTGCTGATAGCCAGGCAAACAGGGTCTGGAATGGGTCTCTAGCAAACTCCAACAGACCTGAAGCTGAGGGTCATGTCTGTTAGAAGGAAAACTAACAAACAGAAAGGACATCCACACCAAAAACCCATCTGTACATCACCATCATCAAAGACCAAAAGTAGATAAAACCACAAAGATGGGGAAAAAACAGAGCAGAAAAACTGGAAACTCTAAAAAGCAGAGCACCTCTCCTCTGCCAAAGGAACGCTGTTCCTCACCAGCAATGGAACAAAGCTGGACAGAGAATGACTTTGACGAGTTGAGAGAAGAGGGCTTCGGACGATCAAACTACTCCGAGCTACAGGAGGAAATTCAAACCAAAGGCAAAGAAGTTGAAAACTTTGAAAAAACTTTAGACGAATGTATAACTAGAATAACCAATATAGAGAAGTGCTTAAAGGAGCTAATGGAGCTGAAAGCCAAGGCTCGAGAACTATGTGAAGAATGCAGAAGCCTCAGGAGATGATGAGATCAACTGGAAGAAAGTGTATCAGTGATGAAAGATGAAATGAATGAAATGAAACAAGAAGGGAAGTTTAGAAAAAAAAGAATAAGAAGAAATGAACAAAGCCTCCAAGAAATATGGGACTATGTGAAAAGACCAAATCTGCATCTGATTGGTGTACCTGAAAGTGACGGGGAGAATGGAACCGAGTTGGAAAACACTCTGCAGGATATTATCCTGGAGAACTTCCCCAATCCAGCAAAGCCAGCCAACATTCAGATTCAGGAAATACAGAGAACACCACAAAGATACTCCTCGAGAACAGCAACTCCAAGACACATAATTGTGAGATTCACCAAAGTTGAAATGAAGGAAAAAATATTAAGGGCAACCAGAGAGAAAGGTCAGGTTACCCATAAAGGGAAGCCCATCAGAATAACTGCTGATCTCTTGGCAGAAACTCTGCAAGCAAGAAGAGAGTGGGGGCCAATATTCAACATACTTACAGAAAAGAATTTTCAACCCAGAATTTCATATCCAGCCAAACTAAGCTTCATAAGTGAAGGAGAAATAAAATACTTTACAGACAAGCAAATGCTGAGCGATTTTTTCACCACCAGGCCTGTCCTAAAAGAGTTCCTGAAGGAAGCACTAAACATGGAAAGGCACAATCGGTACCAGCCACTGCAAAAACATGCCAAATTGTAAAGAACATCAAGACTAGGAAGAAACTGCGTCAATTAACGAGCAAAATAACCAGCTAACATTATAATGACAGGATCAAATTCACACATAACAATATTAACTTTAAATGTAAATGGACTAAATGCTCCAATTAAAAGACACAGACTGGCTAATTGGATAAAGAGTCAAGACCCATCAGTGTGCTGTATTCAGGAAACCCATCTCACGTGCAGAGACACATATAGGCTCAAAATAAAAGGATGGAGGAAGATCTACCAAGCAAATGGAAAACAAAAAAAGGCAGGGGTTGCAATCCTAGACTCTGATGGAACAGACTGTAAACCAACAAAGATCAAAAGAGACAAAGAAGACCATTACATAATAGTAAAGGGATCAATTCAACAAGAAGAGCTAACTATCCTAAATATATATGCACCCAATACAGGGGCACCCAGATTCATAAAGCAAGTCCTGAGTGACCTACAAAGAGACTTAGACTCCCACACAATAATAATGGGAGACTTTAACACCCCACTGTCAACATTAGACAGATCAATAAGACAGAAAGTTCACAAGGATACCAAGGAATTGAACTCAGCCCTGCACCAAGTGGACCTAACAGACATCTACAGAACTCTCCACCCCAAATCAACAGAATATACATTTTTTTCAGCACCACACCACACCTATTCCAAAATTGACCACATACTTGGAAGTAAAGCCCTCTTCAGCAAATGTAAAAGAACAGAAATTAAACTGTCTCTCAGACCACAGTGCAAACAAACTAGAACTCGGCATTAAGAAACTCACTCAAAACTGCTCAACTACATGGAAACTGAACAACCTGCTCCTGAATGACTACTGGGTACATAATAAAATGAAGGCAGAAATAAAGATGTTCTTTGAAACCAACGAGAACAAAGACACAACATACCGGAATCTCTGGGACACATTCAAAGCAGTGTGTACAGGGAAATTTATAGCACTAAATGCCCAAAGGGAAAGCAGGAAAGATCCAAAATTGACACCCTAATATCACAATTAAAAGAACTAGAAAAGCAAGAGCAAACACATTCAAAAGCTAGCAGAAGGCAAGAAATAACTAAAATCAGAGCAGAACTGAAGGAAATAGCAACAAAAAAACGCTTCAAAAAATTAATGAATGCAGGAGCTGGTTTTATGAAAGGATCAACAAAATTGATACACTGCTAGCAGGACTAATAAAGAAAAAAAGAGAGAAGAATCAAATAGACACAATAAAAATAATAAAGGGGATATCACCACTGATCCCTCAGAAATACAAACTACCATCAGAGAATACTACAAACACCTCTACACAAATAAACTAGAAAATCTAGAAGAAATGGATAAATTCCTCCACACATACACTCTCCCAAGACTAAACCAGGAAGAAGTTGAATCTCTGAATAGACCAATAACAGGATCTGAAATTGTGGCAATAATCAATAGCTTACCAACCAAAAAGAGTCCAGGACAAGATGGATTCACAGCCAAATTCTACCAGAGGTACAAGGAGGAACTGTTACCATTCCTTCTGAAACTATTCCAATCAATAAAAAAAGAAGGAGTCCTCCCTAACTCAATTTATGAGGCCAGCATCATCCTGATACCAAAGCCGGGAAGAGACACAACCAAAAAATAGAATTTTAGACCAATATCCTTGACGAACATTGATGCAAAAATCCTCAATAAAATACTGGCAAACCGAATCCAGCAGCACATCAAAAAGCTTATCCACCATGATCAAGTGGGTTTCATCCCTGGGATGCAAGGCTGGTTCAATATACGCAAATCAATAAATGTAATCCAGCATATAAACAGAACCAAAGACAAAAACCACATGATTATCTCAATAGATGCAGAAAAGGCCTTTGACAAAATTCAACAATGCTTCATGCTAAAAACTCTCAATAAATTAGGTATTGATGGGACTTATCTCAAAATAATAAGAGCTATCTATGACAAACCCACAGTCAATATCATACTGAATGGGCAAAAACTTGAAGCATTCCCTTTGAAAACGGGCACAAGACAGGGATGTCCTCTCTCATCACTCCTATTCAATATAGTGTTGGGAGTTCTGGCCAGGGCAATCAGGCAGGAGAAGGAAATAAAGGGTATTCAATTAGGAAAAGAAGAAGTCAAATTGTCCCTCTTTGCAGATGACATGATTGTATATCTAGAAAACCCCATTGTCTCAGCCCAAAATCTCCTTAAGCTGATAAGTAACCTCAGCAAAGTCTCAGGATACAAAATCAATGTACAAAAATCACAAGCATTCTTATACACCAATAACAGACAAACAGAGAGCCAAATCATGAGTGAACTCCCGTATGCAATTGCTTCAAAGAGAATAAAATACTTAGGAATCCAATTTACAAGGGACATGAAGGACCTCTTCAAGGAGAACTACAAACCACTGCTCAATGAAATAAAAGAGGATACAAACAAATGGAAGAACATTCCATACTCATGGATAGGAAGAATCAATATCATGAAAATGGCCATACTGCCCAAGGTAATGTATAGATTCAATGCCATCCCCATCAAGCTACCAATGACTTTCTTCACAGAATTGGAAAAAACTACTTTAAAGTTCATATGGAACCAAAAAAGAGCCTGCATCACCAAGTCAATCCTAAGCCAAAAGAACAAAGCTGGAGACATCACCCTACCTGACTTCAAACTATACTACAAGGCTACAGTAACCAAAACAGCATGGTACGGGTACCAAAACAGAGATATAGACCAATGGAACAGAACAGAGCCATCAGAAATAATGCCGCATATCTACAACTATCTGATCTTTGACAAACCTGACAAAAACAAGGAGTGGATCCCCTATTTAATAAATGGTGCTGGGAAAACTGGCTAGCCATATGTAGAAAGCTGAAACTGGATCCCTTCCTTACACCTTATACAAAAATTAATTCAAGATGGATTAAAGACTTAAATGTTAGACCTGAAACCATAAAAACCCTAGAAGTAAAACTAGGCATTACCATTCAGGACATAGGCATGGGCAAGGACTTCATGTCTAAAACACCAGAAGCAATGGCAACAAAAGCCAAAATTGACAAATGGGATCTAATTAAACTAAAGAACTTCTGCACAGCAAAAGAAACTGCCATCAGAGTGAACAGGCAACCTACAAAATGGGAGAAAATTTTTGCAACCTACTCATCTGACAAAGGGCTAATATCCAGAATCTACAACGAACTTAAACAAATTTACAAGAAAAGAAATACAACCCCATCAAAAAGTGGGTGAAGGATATGAACAGACACTTCTCAAAAGAAGACTTTATGCAGCCAAAAGACACATGAAAAAATGCTCATCATCACTGGCCATCAGAGAAATGCAAATCAAAACCACAATGAGATACCATCTCACAACAGTTAGAATCACAATCATTAAAAAGTCAGGAAACAACAGGTGCTGGAGAGGATGTGGAGAAATAGAAACACTTTTAAACTGTTGGTGGGACTGTAAACTAGTTCAACGATTGTGGAAGTCAGTGTGGCGATTCCTCAAGTATCTGGAACTAGAAATACCATTTGATCCAGCCATCCCATTAGTGGGTATATAACCAAAGGACTATAAATCATGCTGCTATAAACACACATGCACACGTATGTTTATTGCAGCACTATTCACAATAGCAAAGACTTGGAACCAACCCAAATGTCCAACAACGATAGACTGGATTGAGAAATTGTGGCACATATACACCATGGAATACTATGCAGCCATAAAAAATGATGAGTTCATGTCCTTTGTAGGGATATGGATGAAATTGGAAATCATCATTCTCAGTAAACTATCACAAGGACAAAAAACCAATCACTGAATGTTCTCAATCATAGATGGGAATTGAACAATGAGAACACATGGACAAAGGAAGGGGAACATCACACTCTGGGGACTGTTGTGGGGTGGGGGGGGGGAGGAATAGCATTAGGAGATATACCTAATGCTAAATGACGAGTTAATGGGTGCAGCCCACCAGACTGACACATGTATACATATGTAACTAACTGGCACATTGTGCACATAAACCCTAAAACTTAAAGTATAATAATAATAATAATAATAATAAAATAAAATTAAAAAATGAAAAATTTGTTTGCCTTGTAAATAAACTACCAAAAAAAAGGAAAAACAAGAGGCAGATTATTTGTGGAGATAAGTCTTCCCCCTATCAATGAGTAAAGATTTTTGCCCTTTAAAAATTTTTTAAGTCATGATTTTAGGTAAATGAATGACTTACGTTGACGTGGAATTCTATTTCATAACATCAAGTGTTTAAACCTTTAATATATTTAATACGCTTCCCAAAATCAAATTGCAACTTCAAAATTGTCTTTTCTGACCTCTAACTTTGGGATACTACAGAGGCCCCTGAAGCACCCAAAAGAGAGGTAAACAGGACTATTTAACATGTTAAGTCACATGGCTAGCACTGTCAAAATACAAAATAATGTTGAACCTTCTTTAGGTTATATTCGGTGTATGTCATCAATCCATTCTAAAATTGTATAGGATTTCTAAAATTCTTGTATTTTTTTTTTTCTGAGAAGGAGTCTTGCTCTGTCACCCAGGCTGGAGTACAGTGGTGCAATCTTGGCTCACTGCAACCTCCACCTCCCGGGTTCATGCCATTCTCCTGCCTCAGCCTCCTGAGTAGCTGGGACTACAGGCACCCACCACCATGCCAGGCTAATTTTTGTATTTTTAGCAAAGACGGATTTCACTGTGTTAGCCAGGATGGTCTCGATCTCCTGACCTCGTGATCCTTCCACCTCGGCCTCCCAAAGTGCTGGGATTACAGGCATGAGCCACCACATCCACCCTAATTATGGTTATTAAGTTATTGTAGACCACAGAAATAACCAAATTTCCTTGTCAATTGTCTTTATCTATAACTATTTAAAGTCATTTCCACAGTTAATTGCTTAATGGTGATGCAGTTTCTAAAAACTTCACAAGCATGCAAAATTCTAGAATATGGTGTCTCTTAGAAGATTCATGAAAGAATGAAAAGGATCCTGAAAAACACTCGTGAACACAGATTTTTAATAACTTTAATATAATGGGTAAAAATTCCCCATAAGTTCCCTGATACCCCAAGAATTGGACAGGTTAAGAATTCTCAAAAGTTAGGCTGGGTGCAGCGGCTCACGTTGGCAATCCCAGCACTTTGGGAGGCCAAGGCCAGTGGATCACTTGAGATCAGGAGTTTGAGACCAGCCTGGCCAACGGTGAAACCCCACCTCTACTAAAAATGTAAAAATTAGCCGGGTGTGGTGGTATGTGCCTGTAATCCCAGCTACTCTGGAGGCTGAGGCAAGAGAATTTTTTGAACCCAGGAGGTGGAGGTTGCAGTGAGCCAAGATTGTGCCACTGCACTCCAACCTAGGTAACAGAGTGAGACTCTGTCTCAAAAAAAATCCCAAAAGTTTAATAAATAGACCAACTGGTTTATAAAACTGCTAACCTAAGTAAAACAAAAATTGTATACCAAGGAAATATTTTGCCACATTTGCATGCTAAATCACCAATATTGAAATTGTTTAGGTATATAATTTAAATAAACTCCATGGTCTAAGTCAAATCACCTATAACTACTCATCAGTTACCAGTGCCATGCACGTAATTTGGAGAAACAGCTGGTATTCAAGAGGATGTAAGTCTAATGTTAATTAAGCACAGACTTATGAAGAACCAGGATGGCCACCTTATCCTTCTTAAGTCCTTAAAACTTTTGTTATTAAAAGTTCTGCATTCCATAACTCATCATGGAAAGAGAAAATGATCCAAATTAAATATATTGTTGTGGTGATTTCTAAACTGCTAAAATAGTTTATAACCAATGTTTAGTTTGTCAAACCTATATTTCTAGGAAAACAATCAAAACTTCAGGTACATTTGGTTACCTGATGGGCCATTTAAACATTTTATAAAGGGATTTGATTCAGTTGTCATTTTCAGTGCATGTTTTCTGATTGTATAAAAGCTCTTCCATGCGAGAGAGTTGATGTTAAAACAGTAGATTATTACCCTGAAGTGTATTTTCACCAGGTAAAGAAAGCCTTTTATGGTTCACTGAGGACAGTCAACCCCTTCAAAATCTGGAATCTGATGACTGGATCTTCTGAGAACATCAGAGAAGGACTGCCCTTGCCATCCACATGACAGCAAAACTTTAAAACCTTAAACTTTGGGTTCATAGTCTCACAACTCAGAAAGGTCCTTCCACACTTGGAACCATATACCCATTGGAACCCTTAAGGTAAAGCTAACAAGGACAGTTCCCCCCAGAAGAAGATGGCATCCTTAATGTGAACAGCTTTTCCCAAGATCACAGATCAAGACTTCTCTACTATCATGAGACACTTATCTTAAGTATCTGTGCAGCTGCTAACACTTACAGCATGTGGAGAAAACATGGGGTATTATAAAAATTTGGTTGTAGGGAATTAACAAAAAAACCCACTTAGTTAAGCAAGTAAACTCTTTATCTAATTCATTCTTTAATCTATTTGATTTTAGGTGGTTTGATTTATGGGGACCCTGAGTTAGGAGCATATACCAAATTCTTGGTGTTATCCCAACAGTCATAAGAGTCTCCCTGGTGCACTGTACTTACTCAAATGTTTTAAGAGTTTGCATGCAGGCATCTCTAAAATATCAAATGGTATCTCTTCAACTGGAATGACAAGAGATTAAAAAAAAAGTGCAACCGTAAGGACACCATAACCTATGAGTGACATGCTAAACCGGAAACCCAAAACAATGGGGGTGACATGCTAAACCAGAAACCCAAAACAATGGGAGTGATGTACTAAAACGGGAACCCAAAACAATGGGAGTGACGTGCACTAAAACCAGAACCCAAAACAATGGGATTGACGTGCTAAACAAGAAACCCAAAACAATGGGAGTGACTTGCTAAAACTGGAACCCAAAACAATGGGAGTGACGTGCCAAAAGCGGAAATGAAAACAATGGGAGTGATGTGCTTAAACCAGAACCCAAAACAATGGGAGTGACCTGCAAAACCAGAAACCCAAAACAATGGGAGTGACGTGCTAAACCAGAAACCCAAAACAATGAGAGTGATATACTAAAACTGGAACCCAAAACAATGGGGGTGATGTGCACTAAAATCAGAACCCAAAACAATGGGAGTGACTTGCTAAAACTGGAACCCAAAACAATGGGAGTGATGTGCTAAAACCGGAAATGAAAACAATGGGAGTGATGTGCTGAAACCGGAACCCAAAACAATGGGAGTGACCTGCTAAACCAGAAACCCAAAACAATGGGAGCATCCTGCTAACCCAGAAACCGAAAACAATGGGAGTGACCTGCTAAACCAGAAACCCAAAACAATGGGAGTGACGTGCTAAAACTGGAACCCAAAACAACGGGAGTGACGTGCTAAAACTGGAACCCAAAACAATGGGAGTGACTTGCTAAAACTGGAACCCAAAACAACGGGAGTGACGTGCTAAAACTGGAACCCAAAACAATGGGAGTGACCTGCTAAACCAGAAACCCAAAACAATGGGAGCATCCTGCTAAATCAGAAACTGAAAACAATGGGAATGACCTGCTAAACCAGAAACCCAAAACAATGGGAGTGACGTGCTAAAACCAGAAACCCGAAACAATGGGAGCGTCCTGCTAAACCAGAAACCCAAAACAATGGGAGTGACGTGCTAAACCCGAACCCAAAACAATGGGAGTGACGTGCTAAAACTGGAACCCAAAACAATGGGAGTGATGTGCTAAACCAGAAACCCAAAACAATGGGAATGACGTGCTAAACCCGGAACCCAAAACAATGGTAACTAAGAGTGATGATAAGGCCCTACATTTTGGTCACACTCTCAACTAAGTGAGAACTTGACTGAAAAGGAGGACTTTTTTTTCTAAGACAGAGTCTTGGTCTGTCCCCCAGAGTGGAGTGCAGTGGCACAATCTTGGCTCACTGCAAGCTCCACCTCCCAGGTTCAGGCCATTCTCCTACCTCAGCCTCCTGAGTAGCTGGGACTACAGGCACCCACCACTATGCTTGGCTAATTTTTTGTATTTTTAGTAGAGATGGGGTTTCACCATATTAGCAAGGATGGTCTCAATCTCCTGACCTCGTGATCTGCCCACCTCAGCTTCCCAAAGTGCTGGGATTACATGTGTGAGCCACCGTGCCCAGCCAAAAGGAGGAATTTTTTAAGCAAAATTATGGGAGGTCATTGTTTTGAACTAAACTCATGCAATAGGTCCAAACCAGACCAAACCAAACCAAAATGGAGTCACTCTTGCTAAATGTAACATAATCAAACTAAGACTTTAAGGAAACACATAAATCCTAGAACAAACCAGGTTTGTTTTTCTCCTGTAAACAGGATGTTCCAGCATAAGAAGATACCTTCTACTCAAGTCCTTGTTCCACCTTTTCAAATCTCACTGGTCTATTTCCCAGTGGGTTTCTAAACCAAGTAAGTACATTTGCAATGGTAATAGTGACATCAGTGACTGAAGTTTTGGCCAATCTCTCAAAATTGAGAAAATAACCAAAGGGAAGGCATTGTTAAGTGAACTAAGTATGGCCTGAGAAGGACTCCATAATTCTATATATGATTCATTGTGGATGAACTGTAACCTACCTTAATAGGTATAGAAGAATGAAAAACTAACTTAAGAGTATGCACCTTGAACAACAGCTACATCTTGGCCAATCCCAATGGCCAAACTTCAACCACTCAGGCACTGCCAAATGTTCAAAATGTGTTCAAACAAGGCAAACGCTGAGTTGTTTCTGTACCTCACTTCCGATTTCGGTATGCCATTTCCCTTTTGTCTATAAATCTTCTTCCACCACATGAATGCGCTGGAGTCTCTGTGAACCTGATGTGATTCTGGGGACTGTCTGATTCGTGAATCGTTTATTGCTCTATTAAACTCCTTTAAAGTTTTTCTTTTAACAGAACTAACACAGAAGAATTTCCAGATCATGAACAGATGTTTTGTAATACCCAACGTTGTAACATGAATAGACTCTTCCTTAGATAGCTAACCTTGTTTTTAATATGAATAGACTCTCCCTTAGCTGAGAAAACCAGACAAACTCCATTTGGCTCCTTCATTTACAAGACATCAAGGGCTCCCTACCCACCCCCTTTCCTCAAGGACTTTAACTTGTGCAAGTTGACTTTCAACATATCAAAGAGTGCAATTAACTGATAAAGTGCTTAGACAAGCGATGTCTGCAGTTCCCAGCAATTTATTCAGAGATAGTATCATAAAGCCCCACATTTGTCTGGCAGATAATGCCCAGAGCCCCCTCACCTATCATTTTGTGGTGAATTTAAAGCCCCTGCACCTGGAACAGTTTGTTTTCCTGTAACCATCAGTCTTTTTAACTTTTTTGTCTGTTTTTTTCTTCTGTAAAGTTGCTGCAGCTAGAATCCCCCCTCCCCTCTCTAAACCAAAGTATAAAAGAAAATCTAGTCCCTTCTTCGGGGCCGAGAGAATTTCGTGCATTAGCCGTCTCTCAGTCACCAGCTAATAAAGGACCCCTGAATTCGTCTCAAAGCGTGGCGTTTATCTCTAACTCACTCGGGTTCGACAGTTTCAACTATGGTAGAAGACTTGAGTAAGTCCAATACAGTCCCCCTAAATTTGACTATTAATTAGGTTAATGGTGAGTTTAGAAGAAATAAGTTAAGACTACACAGAGTGGGCTAAAGTGCAAATAAACACTGGAAATATTTCCCAGAAAATATGACTTTGAACAGGCTGCTGCACACCCTGCATGTAGAGATAAACTAAGAAAAATGTCTGGAGAGTTATTTAAGGGCCTATGGTTAACTCAGTCCTCAAGATGTTCTGGGTTTCATCCATGAATCAAGGAGGACCTCCTAAAAGCTGTTTGGGACCACACTCTTTGAGCAATGAGCACACCTTACGATGGAAGCTGTACTTTAGCGGCAGATGACCATTACCACTGCACAACACGCCGTGCTTTAGCGGAAGATGACCGTTTCCACTGCACAACACTACAAGTGGTTACTGCCAGGCCGGTGTGAAATATGTTCCAGCACATAATCTATGTCACCAATGAAGGTGGTGGTTCGGACTTGGTGCACACAATCTTTCCTGTCCCACAAGAACACAGCATGCTCTCTTCTCGGGTTCCATTCCAATCACGTAACAAATATGACTGCCTTTTTTGTCTCGGCATCAGAAAGATCAGAGGAAAATTTGCACCCAACTTAGACTACTCTAAGCTCTTATAACCTGCCTATATCTACAAGTCAGCTTTATCTTATTTATGTATATTTCCTTCAACCTGAGTTTTACTTATTTATACTTTTCCTTTTTAATTCACACACACCCATAAACTCAGAAAATACAGTGTAAAACAAAGTGAAGAACAAGTAAGCAACTCACCAGAGATTTATTCGTTTCTTGTTGCTCTTGGAAACACCCAGAGGACACTGGAAACATAGCTGGGATAGAAGGCAAATGACGTGGATTAAGGAGAGAACTGGTGTGGTGTGGTCCCAGATTCTTCTGCCCAATGCTCTAGACACATTACCCGGGAAAGCCCTCCTCCCTCCTGAAAAAGAAAAACTTCTCCAGGGGAGAAGAGTTCTTCACGCCTCATTAGGGGCAGCAGAGGCTCAAGTTAAGATAAGATACATAGACAAGTACATTAATTGGTAGACATTAGATGCACAATTTATTTTTGAATAAATATATGTATTACCTACTAATTTAGTAACAATATGATCTAAAGATATAATCTAATAATTTAATACAAAGAAACATAAGTTCACTAAAATAAATGTTATAGAAATATACTGGGCTGTATTAACTATTTTCCTATTAATATGTAGATTCCACAAATAACTTCATATGAGTGTTCCCGTGACAGTACCTCTTGCTTTTCTATACCTGAACATCATGGAAAGTGCATCTTGCAAACCAGCAATTTTGGCCTACAATTACGCTTTTTAAAATGTACATAATGCGTATTTCCTACAGTACACCATTCTACTCATGTTTCCCAATAACACCTTTCCTTCTATCCAAGCTCTCATATTATGCTCTGACAATAAATTGGGCTTTTCCATCTGACTTGTCCAGTGAATGGACAATGGAAAATGTGATGCAAATATCCATTGGTTCTTCCCTTTTTGGGAGAAATTGTGAAGAGGTCTGGAGCTACCCTGTTGGAGACACAGGGCCTAGCCAAGAGTCACCACAAACCACCAGATTGTGAAGGAAACTATCTTAAACCAACCAGGCTCAGTCAAGGCACCAGGTGACTAAGGCCTTTTTGTGATCCAGGCAACACAAATATATCAACTACCCAGGTGAATCCACCACACCAAAATGCAGATCCACAGAACTTCAAACAAATAAAATGGTGTTTGTTTTTTATAAGCCAGTAAGGTTTAATCAGTTCCTTAAACAGCAAGTATTAACTGTTACACCTAAGTGAACAGAATTCACTTCTGTGTTTTTAACAAAATTATGTAGGGGGAGAAAATCTTAAATTACAAATCAAATACAATCAATAGAACTCGCAATCTAATGCTAAATTTGGTGATGGACTAGGTTTAATATATCTCAGACGCGAAAAAACGAGCTAAGATTGAAGGAATGGGACTGTGTTTGGAGAGTATTTTAATCCTCTCAAGTATGACAGGTCACTCCTGTACCCCAGACCACACTTTCAGGCCCCTTCAAATAAGGAATATTTCCTAAGTCCTTGCCTGTTTTTCTCAGCTGAATTCACCTCAACCTTCTGAAAGTTCGTCCAAACCTTCTACTATCACCTAGTCTTTGCAAATCTTGTGCATTCTAGGGAGTAGAATTAATATTTCCTGAGCAAGGAAAACTGGGATCTTCACCTGTGACCTTTTTTCCTCCTCTGAAGCACCAGTGAGAGGTTAGACCAGACGGCTGTTCTTTCAAGTGTGCTTCTTATTCATAGGGAACCCTCCCTTTCAAACTTTGTAACACACAGTTAAGACTGAAGTACCCTTAAGGCTGACGACCATCATCTATTACGCCATCTCCCTCGCGGAATCAGTGAGTTCTTCCCTGGAAACTAGGTCTCGTATAAACTTCTGTAAATGCGACCCAGGAGGACTAGGCAGGTCACACAGTGAAGGAGGGAACCAGAAACTTCACTTGCTAAAGAGACACCAGGAAACCAAACTAATACAAACGTCAAGTTTAAGACTAGAGGCGCATGCGTTTCACACTACTCCTCTGGGAATGGGGAACGTCTCCCGAGAACTGTGTGTTAGCACTGGGACAGATGGGCAAACTGAGCATCATGCGGGTTGGTAACCGGGTCCCTCAGCGGCAGGACAGGAGCGCGGCCTGCAGACTCCGGGCCCAGGGCCACCGGCCTCTCCTACCCGCTCCTGTGCCTCTAGAACCCGCGTCACTGCTGGGACCCCACGCCTGTCCTCCCAGCCCCTGCCAGGGTCCGCAGCCCGCACCTGCTCTTCAGGCCCTGCCCTCCCGTGATGCGCCCACGCGTCTGCTCCCACAACTAGGGAACACTGGTCCGGCCCCCTGGGATCCCCTGAGGCTCACGGGTTCCTCCTGGCCCTCGCACCGACCCACAGGGACATAGAACCAAGCCCCAAGCCGGCCCAGCTACAGTACCGCCTCTGGGTGCCACACTTCCGGAGGAAAATGGCGGAGTGGGCCGGGCGGCGCATGCGCAGAGAGAAAAGCTGGTTCCCAAAGTCCTTGATGGTAACGTCATTGGAAGGTGACACTACAATTCCCATGAGGCTTTGCGGTCCCCATTTAGGAACCCACGCCGGACATTCTGTTTTGCCCAGCAGTTGAGTCCAGTTACCCAGAGACCCGGACTTAATGTATCAGGACTGGTCCCTACCCAGGTGACAGAGATGTGGCATTCTGGTTCTTTATTAAATACTGGTTTCACAGCCTGGGACATTGTGAAAATAATGGAGAAATTTCAATAGAGGCCAATTGGTCTATGCTATTAATCAGTAACTTTTTTTTTTTTTTGAGACGGAGTCTCACTCTGTCGCCCAGGCTGGAATGCAATGGTGCGATCTTGGCTCACTGCAACCTCCGCTTCCCGGGTTCAAGTGATTCTCCTGCCTCAGCCTCCTAAGTACCTGGGATTACAGGCGCGCGCCACCACACTCGCCTAATTTTTGTATTTTTAGTAGACACGGGTTTTCACCATGTTGGTCAGGCTGGTCTCCAACTCCTGACCTCGTGATCCGCCCTCCTCGGCCTCCCAAGGTGCTGGGATTACAAGCGTGAGCCACTGCACCCAGCCCTCAAGTCTATTTTTTATAGATACATTCGAAAGCATGAAAAAAATCATGTCTCTATTTTACTTTAAAATTTTAAAAACACAACTAATGAATATGGTAATTCTCTTCCAATCTGTTATCTTTTCTCTCACTAAACTAATTTGTGAGCCTTCAATTTACACAGTTAGAAAATATGCTCTAATGCATATACTAGGATAAAATAACAGGGTCATAAGACAGGTGCACTCCATAATCTTTGTGACAACTTTCACTTCCAGTGTCTGATAAATATTTGCCCGTAGACTCCCACGTTTCATCCATCCATCAATCAATCAAATCTACCTATCTTTATTTATTTATTGTGAGAAAGACCTGAAATTTGCCTTTCCTTCCCTGATTTCTGCCACAAACTAGGCAAGGAGTTCTGCATAGGGGTTTCTCAGAGCTCTGGCTACCACCGATGTTCCCAACAGGGAAACGCAGGCTTGAATGCTCAGGGTTGATGTGGGAGTGCGTGTGAAACGGGGGTGGGGTGAAAGGGCAGTGACGTTTGTAGGTGGGCAGATGGGGGTGTTGATAGGCTTTCAGGTAAGAGGCACGCAGGAAACTGGGAGAGGCAGCAAAAGCACCTCACACCTCAGATCACCAGAAGACGCTCCCTCCAGTGCCATGACAGTTTGCCAATGCCATGTCATCACGAGAAGTCCCCACCCCTTGCCATGGAAACAGATGGAAGTTACTGCCCATTTCTAGCTATTTCTGAATAACCCTCCCCTTAATTAGCATGCCATTAAAAGTGAATTATAAAAGTGACTACAAGCCACCCCTAGGCTGCTGCTCTGGGAGCACAACCCACGGAGGGCTCCCTGCCCTGCCGGAGTGGTTGCAGGGTTGTAACACCGCCAATGCCTCCGTAGAGCTGCTTTCTTCCACCATAGGCTTGCTTTTGGATTTCTTCCTGAGCGACGCCAAGAACCTGCCCTTCCTCAGTGTGACTCTTGCCTAAAACCTATCCCTGGTATTCTCTTTTCCTAAGCATGCCCTGACTTGTTCTTTCATCTCCTCTGATCTTGCAATTGGTCCTCAGTGACTCTATTCTGCAGATCCAGAAAACTCAACCTTAATCTTCCCAGAGCCCTGTTGTCTCTAATATTGGAATCTATAGCCTTGTTTTCTCAGACGCCTAGATTACAGGCCTCTCTCTTGAACACCTATTGGTATGGTATCTGGGGATCCTTTAAATACTTGATGATTGGCAGGGGTTAAATAGCGGAAATCAGTGCCTGACAATTCGCCTTCCAGGATATGGACTGTCATTCCCTCTCTTGGTGGGCCTCAGTCTCTTATCAATAAAGTAGAGATTGTAATACTCATTTGAATTGCAGATACCTCAACCCGAACCCACCTAATATAATGTAAAAGCCAAGAATGCAACCCCTTTCCTCACCCCGTGAAGGTAAAGCCCTCAGAGCCAAGGAGAGAAGGCTCAGGGATGGTATCTGGGTGTTTCCAATGCTAACCATGTATTGTAGTTTTTAGTGTTCAAGTTTAAGCTTCCCCAGCTTTAATTCTATTGTAACAAGATTTATTTTTGTAATTCCATTTTTGGATTCTTGATTTCTTGGTAAAGAAATACAGTTATTTTTGTATACCAATCTTATACAGTGTTACATTCTTAAATTTGTTCATGAGTCCTAATACTTTTTAGTAAATTTCTTACGATTTTCTAAATGCAAGATC